>NC_000007.14:146276561-146428076 GCF_000001405.40 Homo sapiens | reverse complement strand
AACGAGACTATGTCCTTTGCAGGGACACGGATGGAGCTGGGGGCCATTATCCTTAGCAAACTCATGCAGCAACAGAAAACCAAATACCACATGTTCTCACGCATACGTGGGAGCTGAATGATGACAACATATGGACACATGGCAGGGAACAACACACACTAGTGCCTGTTGGAGGTACAGGGGGATGGAGAGCATCAGGAAGAATAGCTGATGGATGCTGGGCTTAATACTTGGTGATGGAATGATCTGTGCAGGAAACCACCATAGCATATGTTTACCTATGTAACAAAACTGAATAACCTGTACATGTCCCCCTGAACTTAAAAGTTGAAAACAGTTTTTTAAAAAAGATACATTAGATGATAAAATAATGAGCATATATAGCTATAGACAAAATAACGTATGTAACTATAGGCAAAAGAAAGACTTTAGCAAGGCAAAGCAATCACAGATAATCCTAGCAGTTTCTTGTTATCCAGATCCAGGATCAACACAGTATGGCTCTTGGGCAAAATCCTGTTCAATGGCTAGATTTCTAGTGTCCTTAAGCTCAGAATGCTTTTTATGTTTCTTAATGGTAAAAAGAAAAATCAAAAGAAGAATAAAGTTTTGTCACATGAAAGAATTAAGTGAAATTCAAATTTTAGCATTCATAATAAAGCTTTATTGAAACACAGCCACAGTTATTCATTTACATATTATGTATGTCTACAATGGCGGTATTGAGTTGCGACAGAGATTGACCCCTGAAACTTAAAATATCTGCTATCTGGCTCTTTCCCAAAAATATTTGTCCCTTAGCTAGATGGCAGAGAATTAAATCATTTCCAGTAAAGACTATCTTATCACTTATTTCCAAGTCATTAAGTAAATATGACCTTGGAGGTGAAACTTAAAAGCGATCTATTTAAAGATGCATATATAAATAATCTTTTTAATGATCACGGAGGGGAGGTTTGCTTTTTTTCTGAAAAATAACGTTATCTTTTCAGATATTTAATATGTGGAAGCACTTAACTATAATAGTTTTTGTTTTCTTTTTACTTTAGATGAATAGTGGAAAATAAGCAGTTTTTTTCATTGACAAGTAAAATTGTATATATTTATGGTGTACAGCATGACGTTTTGATATTTGTATACATTGTGGAACGGCTAACTCAAACTTTTTAACATATATAGTACCTCACATACTTATTATTGTTTGTTTTGTGTGTGTGTGTGCAGTAAGAACACTTACAATCTACTCTTTTATCAATTTTCAAGTACACAATATATTAACTGTAGTCCCCGTGATGTATAAAAGATCTCTTGAACTTATTCCTCTTGTCTAACTGATATTTTGTGTCGTTTGAACAACACGTCTCCAATATCTCCACCTCCCCAGCCTCTGGCAACTAGCATTTTACTCTTTCTTTTTGTAAGTTTCACTGTGTTTTGCTTTTTTTTTTTTTTTAAAGGTGTTATTGAAATGAGTCACTGTAATACTTTTGGCTTAAAACTGATTTAACTGATTAATGCTCTTAAATATTTTTAAATTTTTTAAAATGTTTTATAATATACACACGTGTACAAGTAGATATATATGTGTATATGTGTGTGTGTTTATATATATACACACACATTTATGTATATGTGTGTATAAATGTGTGTGTATATGTGTGTGTGTGTATATATATATATATATATATATACATTTTGTTTTCATACGTGCACACAGAAACACCCCAGAAAGACACTGAGGCAAACGTGAGCCTAAAACAGCAACACATGAGCTCTGGTACCATGGTGCTAGTGCTTGAATGTCTGCTCTGCTCCTGCAGTGGGTACTTGTATAATGACACCTTGTCTCAGTTCCTTAAGTTTTAATTTTTTTTTTTTTTTTTTTTTTTTTGAGGCGAAGTCTCACTCTGTAGCCCAGGCTGGAGTGCAGTGGCGCGATCTTGGCTCGCTGCAGCCTCCGCCTCCCGAGTTCAAAAGATTCTCCTTCCTCAGCCTCCCGCGTAGCTCATATTACAGGCTTGCGCCGCCACGGCCAGCTAATTTTTGTATTTTTAGTAGAGATGGGGTTTTACCATGTTGGGCAGGCTGGTCTCAAATTCCTGACCTCAGGTGATCCACACACCTCGGCCTCCCAAAGTGCTGGGATTATAGGCATGAGCCACCAGGCCCAGCCTTTTTTTGTTTTTTTAACTTTTAATTTTAATTAAAATTTATTTAGTTTTTTATTGTTTGTTTGTAGTTTCTTCTCCTCAAAAGGTGGAAGACAATAATCATAATAATAAAAACCTACCACATAGGGTTCACTTAGAGAATGACATGAGGTTACATAGGTAAAGCGCTTAGAACACAGTCTGGCACATCTTATCCCTCAAGAATGTTAATCAATAATTATACTTGTAGTTTTTGTTACTGTGGCATTTCAATTCCTTCATCATCCACAAGGGTCTTCAGATATAAGAAAATACATTCTGCGCCCTATCTCCTTAGCTTAGGAAAGCAAAGTGCCCAGTTTCCTGAATTTCTCACTCTGCAAAAAATAATTATTGATGTACTAAAATACATGGATGGTAGAGAAGGGACCACAGCCTCAAAGATGTTTCTCTTTTTATCAGCTTTACCAATACTGATTGCTCTCAAAATGGCTGCTTGCCAATTCTTTGTTTTTATTGGAAAGGGGTTTTTAAGAGAAGAAAAAGGAAAATAACTTTGGGCATTTTCTACTTTCCTAGGAGCTTTATGGCAACAGTTCAGGTAATGGGGACTTTTCTTCTCCTAACAAAATGGGTTTTATACTCATCAAAAAACACAAATGACATAATAGTAAACTATCCAAAAAATCAAGTATCAGGAAAGGGTTAGAAAAGGGTGAGGATATTCTAATAATCAAAACCCAAATGAATACAAAGGTAAATTAAAAACATCATTTTGGAGAAAAGAGCTTTTTAATTATTATTTGTTCTGTTTCTTGTTTGTTAGTTTGTTTTTAAATCTAGTGTTGTGTTTACGGATGTCATGGTGGATCTATCACATTTCCCCTGCTGGATTTGTTTTTATACCTAGTGATTAATAATAAAATGTAAGTAAATTGAAAACGTATTAGATTGTGGACCACTGATAATTATAAGGCTTCATTTGTAAATTTTTTTTTCAATATGTCAGAGAGGTTTGCAACACTTGTTTATTGACAGTGTTTTAATGACTACATAGGGTAGAACTAGTACTTAAATAACAGATTTGCTGTTCATGTTGGCTCTACTCTCTCTGAGCCCTTCCCTTAATCTCTTTTCTGCTGTTTTTAGATGAAATCTATGCAAAAACAAATTAACATAGTAAGCTTGAGACTGTTATTCTTAGAATGGACGGCTTGCAAAGTTAGCGCTTGACTGGCATTCAGTAACTTGAAGGGTAAATAGTTCCCTACACGGATATAAAACTTTCTCTAAATGATAATAGGAGTCCATTGTGCTTAAACTGTTTGTAAAAACTAAATAATTTATACTGAATACCTGGCTTTCCTACTGAAAGACTAGAAATGTGGCATATATTTGACAGAAGGCGTTTGCTGAACCATGATAAAAATCCTAAACTTCTAATCTTGGGCAAGATTTCCTAGTAGACATTTCGTACACGTTGTCACAACTCATTGCTGGAGGAATTAAGTGTGTCCCGTCTGACTCCAGTAGAAGAAGCTTCTTGGAAGGTTGCACTGAGTTTTCTCTGGATGTGGCTTTTCCCTTTGCTGATCTTGCTTTGTATCCTTTTGCTGTAATCAATCATAGCCGTTAGTTTGGCTATGTGCCGAATCCTGTGAGTTTTAGTGAATTACAGAAAATGGGCCAGGGGGAGTTTGAAGATCTCAAAAGCATAGTTCAATTCAACTTTATTGAGAATTCGAGGCAGATGAATCCCACTGAGTACAGCTGTTCCATCATTTTAGATTAATTTTCACATTGAATGTCTTCATTTTACCACCATAAATTGGGAGCATTATGAAATTTCCCCCAAGTTCTCCTTGAGGATATTATGAAAAAAACTAACAGTTACTAAATATTTTGAGTGATTCAGACATATTATCTCATTTAATACTCAAAAGAATTAACTGAGGAGGGTCACTTCATCTCTCCAGCACGCCTATGACAAAAAGCTCAGAGACATCACAGAAATTGAGTAACGTGATACATTTCATAGCCTTATTATCTGAATTTAAGATTTATCTGACTAAAGCCTATCTTCTTATATTGTATAATTTTTCCTGAAAATTAAAAAAGAAAAGATCTACCTTCTGATATATTCTAGAAATGTTTGCTATAACTGTTTTTATGAATTTAAGTGCTGCTGAGCAAAATAAATGCTAAGTGTAAAGGAATACCATGCCTAGAAGACTCACTTGGAGACACAAAGAGGCCAATCTGCATGACGCAGAGCATTTGGACAAGGCTTCTGGACATTCCTCTCATATGTTACTGTCACTAGTTTTCCCCTTTGGGGAGCAGAAAAGCAGGTGGCTGCTAAAAATTGGAGCACAAATATCCTGTCTTTATCCATGAGGTACTCAAGATGGAAGAGTAGGAATCAATCATTCATCTCTCTAACCCTTTTTTCCTTGCATACACACTTCTAAAACTTCTGACATTTTCTTCCATGGCTTTTATCTGCACTTTTTTCTCCAATTAATGATAATGTTATATCCATCAATCATAAAATTCTTGAGGGGAAGAACTGTAATATTCATTTTCAGAAAAATAAATATGAACAAAACAGCTAAGGAAACAAAAAAATCTACTCATAGAATTGATCGCTACTGTAATTATAATACACACTAAATACTTAAAAGACAGAAAGTTCAATATGTTATTTTACATATGACTATTCTTCCTTCCCAAGAGAGAACAAATAAAGAAATGAAAATTGGAACCATAATAAGAAAAGTTGCACAAGAGGTAAAAAGACTGGAAAGAAAGGAATGTAAAATAAAATGAGAATAGAGAATCCATATGAAAAGGTGGCTAACTACAATAATTAAATAACTAGCATTAGGTACATTTTGCAAGAGGCCAGAAAATAATTTTAGTAGTGCTGTAACAGTATTTTCTTCACAGAAAATACAGAGAGCTGAAGACAGAAAATGTCTTAATCTTGACTTTGATTTATATTTCATCCCTTTTATCTTATGATGCACTACATATATCTCCAATAAGGCATATTTTAATTAATTTTTTGCTAAAGTATAAGTAAACTAGCTTCTCTTTTGAATGGGCAGACTATCACTACTTTAAAAATTAAGCATTTGTGAGCCTTGTGATGGTTCAGGTCAGCAATTCCAGCACTTTAGGATTCCAAGGCAGGCAGATTGCTTGAGCCCCAGGAGTTCAAAACCAGCCTGGGCAATGTAGAAAGACCTTGTCTCTACCAAAATCAATAAATTAGTTAATTTAAAAATATAAAAATAAAACAGCATTGGTATTAGTGGATATTTTGTGTTGTGTGCTATAAGGCAATTTACTCTTACAAATTGTCATGCTTTGAGCATTTGATAGAGAGTTTTTCAAATAGAGATGAAAAATGTCAAGTGGGAAAAAAAAAGTGGTCTTCCAGATAACACATGGAATTTTTTTCAGCTATGGAAATGACAAAATAGCATAAGTAACTTATTTGAAGGTAGAAAATAAAGACCACACACAGAATTATGACTTAAATGGCTAACATATATATATATACATATATATACACATACATATATGTATATATATTCTTATGTATATATTCTTATATATGTATTCTTACATAAGAATAAGAAGATACATGTATAAGAATATTTATTGCAATGTTTTCTGTAATAAACATCATATAAAGTAACCTCCATAGGTACAATGTACACTACTCAGGTGACAGGTGCACTAAAATCTCAGAATTCACAACCATATAATTCATGCATGTAAAAAAAAACATTTGTATCCCAAAAGCTATTGAGATAAGAATTAATTTTAAAAAATAATAAATAATACAGTTGATGTGAAAATACTAAAAAAAAATTACCCATATGGAAATGATGCACTGGTATCACTTTTGTTGAATAGAATGCAGTAGACTTCTGTGTGCTAATATAAAAAGATCTTAAAGTTGTACTCTTCAGTGAAACAAGCATCTATAATATATAGAAAAGTCCAATGTGTAAAAAAAATCTGTCTATATTTGTTTATATATAAATTCATGTATATGAGTATATAATTGGGAAATTTGTAAGATACAAAGGTAATTAATGATTTAGTTACTTCTGTGAAAGAGCCTAAGTCCCTGGAGTAGAAAGAAGACTCAGTATATGTTATCTTATATATGTCTATGATATCTTCTATGGTTCTAGCATATTCACTTTCATCTATATTGTAATAAATGTGGATTTGACTTTTAATACATCTAGATATTGGCAATATTCTGAAAACTGCTTATTAATTGATAATTATAAATATTTAGATCATTAACTTTAAATGAAAAAATATGTAGATGTCTAATAGTTCAATGACTATTTAAACATTTAAAAGATTATTTTCTGAATTACATTTGCACCTGCATTTTCTACCTGTTGTAAAACTCAATTTTAATTTGAAATCAATCACATTTTCCATAAAACCTTCTGTGTATATACACATTAATATTATTCTAACTAATCATTATAACTAGTAATAGATTAGAAGTTAGTTAAGCAAGAGCCAGGGACATTTGTTTATGTTTTTCACAACTAGCATTATGCTTCATTATTTCTGTATGCATTTAAATAAAACAATTGATAGCCAACTTGATGCTATAGTAATAGTTCAATCTAATTCTATGTCAATACCATGGTATACATACTTGTTAAGAGAGAAATATGGTCAATTTCAAAATAAATTCCATTATATGGTTTCATCATTTTAAGAGGAGATGTAACAGATGACAAATCTTACAGTATTTCTATAAACTCACAAATTTTTAGCTCAGTTGTACTCTTCTTGACATCATACCTTTTTTCACTCTATACCTGTGATTGTCCTTTCACTTCAAAGTTCATTTTTCCTAATAAATCCCTCATATAAATGCCGAAAATCTTTGCATAGTAAAGTGGATATGTTATCATAAACAGCTAAAATGTGACTATCAGGGCATTCTGAACAGTCCAATGTGAAAGCTTGCATAACTTTTGTTTCTTTCTTCATTCATTAATCCCCAAAGATAGATCTGAGTGCCTACAAATTGCTACTAACATCACTTGATCAATAATGAAACAATGAAAATGTTACAATTCCTACATTAATGATGTGTCTTATATAACTCAATGGAATTATTGTAATATCATGAATACATTACATACTTTTCAAGCCTCAGTAAAATGAATCAGACAGCTTTAGCATCTCTCTATCAATACAAACATTTAATGGAAAAATAGACACCCACCTACAAGGACTGTTGTAGAGAAGACTTTAGTTTGGGGTGAGACAGTGGACAACAAAGACCATATCTAACTGTCTTCTTGCAGGTGTACTGCCATACCTAGTTTATTGCCCACACATTAATATTGCCAGAAAACTTATTAGAAATATTTTCATCTCAATAATAGAATCTTAAAACTTAGATTGAAAAATGTTAAAAATGCGAATTCACTATTGCACCTGTCTCCAATGATCTGGTAAATATGGGCAAGACTCAAGGAATAAGATATTTTAGATCAGGCAGTGACGGGGGAGACAGAGACTTTGTTCATTAACAGAAACCCTTGCAAAAAGAAATCAGGTCATTTTAAGTCAAAGAATAAGTTTATTCAAGACTCTCAAGCTTGAAGGTGAGATTCCAATAGATGAGCTCTAGTCAAATTGCCTGGGTTTTTTAACCAATTCAAAGTTACCTGTGTAAGTTAAAATCAGCACATGGAGTAAAGTACTGACAACTGCTTCATTTTCCTTTTCTCCATGTCTACAAATATTTCTCAGATGCCTCTGGGCTACAGGAATCTCTGAAAAAGTTATTCAACAGAGCTCCGTTTCTTCTCTTCCTAGAGGGTGGCCCAAAGGGAAAACAGTTCTGTCAATAAAGTATTTCCTTTTTTTATATGGAAAGACTTTTGCAGGCCTTATCTGTATACAGGGTATAAAAAGTTCTCTATATTATTTTCTTAAATCCATCTAATGTTTTGACAATACCATGACAATGTTTACATTCAGATTTCCAGAGATACCATAGTAGTTAGGGGCATAAAATATGTAGACTTCAGTCATCTTTCAAAGAAGTTCAGTGTTCAAAATAACTGTGGGCAACCTGGTGGCAGGAATGTAAACACTGCAATATTTGTGTCTTTTGGATAGAAGCCGTATTAACAGGGGTGAGATGATACCTGTTTTTAATTTTGATTTGCATTTTTCTGATGAAGAATGTTGTTAAGCACCTTTTCATATCTTTGCCATTTGTAGGTCTTCTTTTGAAAAATGTCTATTCAACTCTTGCCCATTTACTATTGAATTTTTTTAATTAAAGAATATAAAAAGAAGATATTTCTGGTCACTTTTATTGTTCTCTGATAATAATTGGAATTAAAATGGCCAATCCACATAGGTATGAAATCTTTGTTAGTTCCCTCAGGCTTCCATAAAGAAGTACCACAAACTGGGTGGCTTACACAAGAAAAATTTATTGTCCTACATTCCAAAGGTGATATGGTTTGGCTGTGTCCCCACCCAAATCTCATCTTGAAATTGTAGCTCCCATAATTCCCAAGTGTTGTGGGAGGGACCTGGTGGGAGATAATTGAATGATGAGGGCAGTTTCCCCCATACTGTTCTCATGGTAGTTAATAAGTCTTAGAAGATCTGATGGATTTATAAGAGGTTTCTCCTTTTGTTTAGCTTTCATTAGCTCTTGTTTGCTGGCATGTAAGATGTGACTTTCACCTTCTACCATGATTGTGAGGCCTTCCTAGCCATGTGGAACCCTGAGTCCACCGAACCTCTTTTTCTTTATAAAAAAATCATTTTCTTTATAGAAAAATAAAGGCATACCCCAATCTCAGGTATGACTTTATCAGCAGTGTGAAAATGGACAAATACAAAAGGCTAGAAGTGCAAAATTAAGGCGTCAACAAGGCTGGTTCCTTTGACTACAGTGAAGGAGAATATTTCTATGCCTCTCTTCTAATGTCTGGTAGTTATAGGCCTTGCTTGGCTTGTAGATGGCCATCTTGTCCCTGTCTTCACTTCGTCTTCCTTCTGTGCATGTCAGCCTCTGTGTCATTAGGATTAACCCTAATGACCTCATCTCAAATTGATCATTTGTAAAGACTTTGTACTTCAACTTCTTTCAGGAGGACACAATTCAAATCATAACAATATTTTGCAGAGGATATGATAGTATTTTATATAACATTGGTTTCCTGGGGTTACAGGTGAGAGAAAGAATGTACCAAAGAAGGATTTCCCTGTATATATTTTAGAGTATTTGAGTAGTTAATAATGAGAAAATAAATACGCATTATGTACCAATTTAAGAAAATTAACCAGCCAAAAAGTTGCAGAACTTTGTATTTTCTCTTTTAAAAACTATTTAGAAAATATATAGAAAAAGGTAAAGCCAACAGTTGATAGTAATTCCCTCTGGGGAAACTTTGCAAAAGAAGTACAGAGAGATTTCATCTTTTATTCATTTTTCTACCTTTTCTATTTAAAAATATTAATCATTTAATTTCATAATTTAAAAATTATCTTAGAGATCCTCACTGGGGTTATTTAAGGGAGGTCAAGTAGGTGCTGGGATGTGCCCTGACACTTAATTTGTGGCCGAGTGAAACAGAGTTATGCAAGTCAGAGCAACTAGAGAGAACTCCAGGCTGAGACCATTCACGCACACAGAACTCAGGGCTTTGGCCCCTAGCTGAAAACTGTGATGAGTTTCATCACCATTTAAAACAGGTAAGTCACATCTTCTTCTTCTCTTTCACAGATGAGGAAGACTAAGAAGTTAAATGACAGTGAAAAATGGGACCAAATGGTCAATCCAGCTGTCCATGTGTTTGTGTGATTTCACATGGTCTGTTTCTCTAACTCATTCTCTTGTTTGTGCCTTTTTTATATCCCCCAACTGGAAGGTAAGCACTTCAAGAACAGTGTATCTGGTAAACCATGGCACCTGACAGCCTAGTGTGGCATTTGGTGCCTCATACACACTCAACATATATATGTTAAATGAATGAATAAGTGAAAACTTTCTGGTGAAGATGTTTATGATTTATGTGATGACAATAGCCTGGTACCTAATTAATAACTACATAGTATATGTAAGTATATATAATTTTATATACTAAATCACCTGTTGAAACTACTTTCAAACTCCAGATCTTATTATTTTAGCCAATCATGAATTTTGAACACATACCTTTTATGCCAACACCAAAAACACAGAAAATTTTAAAACTATGAAGTTAGTAAAAGAGAGATGATTAAAAACTATCACAGATTATCTTGCTAATAGCCACAAAAAAAGAAGAAGAAGAAGATAACTCCAATGGTAAGTAAACAGTCTATATTTGACTTCAGACCAAGATCTAAAGTTGTCTTCATGTTTAACTTGGGTCTGCTTTAGAATTCCAATTTAATCACAAATAGTGGCATAAACATGCTGCCTTTGAGAGCTCTTCTTACCAGAGAGGTACTTAGCATGCAAATCTATGACATAAATTTAGTTTACAAATGGCATGCAACAAAGATTGCTGCTACATCTCATTCTCTAGTCACAATAGATGTGAAAAAGATAACTAGTTAGTGAAATAACTATAATTCAAGTAGAAAACTGACATAAAGTCTCATAAGCTTTGCCAAGTAGCTTTACTTTTGACAGTACAGAGCTCTTTATACAGATATATCTTTTGGTTCAGTGACAGTTTTACTAGAATAAAGGATGGACAAGAATTAAAGTGCCTTAGGGTAGTTAACTATGTACAGACATAGTTAAGAATTCTTTCTCTTCTGCTGTCCCCTAATTTCTATCAAATGTCAAACCTATTGTATACATGGAGAGTGAGTCCACAGCATAATATTTTAGGATACAATCCAAGTTGTCCTCACTTAGAATTTCTAAAATCAGGCGATAGAAGGTCACATAATATTTAAGAAATCATCAGTCTTCTTGCTTGGGGAATTTTTTGAGTTGCACATTATTGTATTGTATTTTTAGTGCATAGATGCTATGCATTTTAAAAAGATGGCGAAATTGGGTAATTGATTCATCTTTGCATTCACACCAAATATAAGTGGTAAATGAAATGTGATCAGAACTTAAAGTAGATGATACTTGAAATGCACTAGAAAGATAGTCATTTCCAGATAAAAGAACTCTGATAAGCAGAGTTAACCACAATTAGCCACCAGAGGAAAACCACAGAGCTCCAAGAAGTCCTTTTGCCTCTGTATGATTTTATGGCTTTAAATGGAAGGGTTAGAAAGGTCTTTCTTTAGATAATAAGCTGCATATTTTTAAAAAATTAAATTAGAAATAAAATGTGCATGTGCCAGGTGTGGTGGCAAGCCCCTCTAGTTGCAGCTACTCAGGAGGCTGAGAGAAGGATTGCTTGGGCCTGGGAGCTCCTGGTTATAATGTGCCATGCTGATCACATGTCTGCACTATTTGGCATCAATGTGGTGACCTCTCAGGAGCTGTGTGTAATGTGGTTGCAAACGAGAGGCAAACTGACCCAGGTCGGAAATGGAGCAGGTCAAAATGTGGATGTACGTCCTTAACATTTATATTCTTAGCATTTTATATTATATATATAGGTATATATATAGGTATATATGTATATATATGTGTGTATATATATTTAACATTTAGTGTTGACAATACAATAACATTAACAAATTTTGAAAACTTGGGCTGTGCTGTCAGATCAACTCATCTTTTTTCATTTTATATGTAATGAAATAAAGGCCAGTTGGAATCTTATATATAAAAAGTTATGAAATTATCCATTTTCATGCAATAATAAATAGAAATGTAAGGAATATTCTTCCATGATTACTTTGTAATTAACTCAAATATTTTTTATGTGACTTTGAATATATATCCTTTAATTTATAAACTATCACAAAATGTGTACTCTTTAAAATACAATTGGATAAAGAGAGCCTTGGAATTATGAAATTATTTATTGATGTGAATGAACAGACATTGTTATCAACTGAAAGACCATTTATATTGACTTCCTAAGAAATGAAAACAATTTGATTTTATAGTTGTAGAATTTTCCCTCATTTTACATATATAAATATCACTTGTAATTTTTTAAATTTATCGAAAATACCAGGAAAACTGGCATTAAAATAAGGAATAGCATGACTTTGATTGGTTGCAAATTTTTTTTAAATTTTTTTAAACTTATAAGGAAGATAAGATGTAGAGATTTTCCTATGATTCAAAAGTGGAGTGTCTTAATTACAGGTTTCTTAAACTATGTGGGTCAAATATAATAGATACATCTAATGGAAATCAGAATGAGTTGCATTATGCTAACAGTTAAAATTTTCAAAGAGTTCATTAAGCATTACACTTAATTTTTCTTTTGGCAATAAAAGCCAATACAGTGTCATTTTACTAGCTGTACTATTTTTGTAAATACACATAAAGATTTTTTTGAAGTAAATTATTTTGAAGTAAAAACACAATGTGTTTGAAATTAATTCCTAATATTGTAACACAACCTAGCTTAATCAAAACGAGTACATTTTAAAGTTGGCAATAACAGAAAAACACAAATAAAAAGTATTCATTTTAAAATTCACTACTCTTCTTCCTCCAGGAAGGTGATCATTGTGTGTATGTGTGTGTGTATGTGTGTGTGGTGTGGTATGTGTGTGTGTGTTTCTCCCTGATGCAGAGTGCTCACCATGGCAGTTACTTTCTTCATGGACTGTGGTGCTTTGCTCCTTATGAATTGAAGCTGTCAATTGTGATTTTTCCAGTTGAAGCACTGTTACAAGCTAACTTGCTTCACTAGGCACACAAAACTTGGAATATTAACCGATGGCATTCTGCCCTTCGCTGCCAAGGCTTCCTAAGTTACTTTTTACAAGTATTAGTCATTATAGAATACTTTGAAATATTTGCAAATAACACTCCTTTTTTTCCACCCTATTCCCCCCAAAAGAGACTGTACTTATTTTATTCTCTTTCAAATAGTATTTAGCAGCAGAATAAAGGCTTTTAAATGCACGCCTCTATGCCAAAAGGGGACCTTTCTCTCAAGCCTGTTATTCCACTCCCAGATACTTGGCAAGTGTTTTCTAGTTTTTGTTGTGGAAAACATCATGGGTGCATACCAGGCATAAGCAAGCTCATCAGAGAGACCACCTACTTCCAAACCCAGCATTTTTGCCACAATACCCCACAACTGACCCCCAACCTAGTCTTTTTCCAAACCCCTTCAGTCACCCCTTATAGATCTATAGGAGTAGGAACTCGAAATAACAATAGGATCAGGCCAGAAAACAAATGAGTGAAGCTCAGGGATAACACAGTAGGCAGCTGCCAGGACTATGGAGAAATAGTCTCCCCTGACTCAGGGTATTAGCAACTATCACCTTCCAGATGACGGCTGCTGCTGGGGAAGGCAGCAGGTCTAGTCTTGCAAGACCTTCAGATTTCTCAAGAGAAGCTACAAGCTCTGGATACTCATGGGGCACTTCTCAACTTCTAAAAGCAGAAACACAGCAAAATGTAATTTAAAACAATCCTATGTGGGCTAAGCAAAACATGTATCTGTAATCTCGATTTGATCAGCAAAATCGCAGAGTTGACACCACCCTTTTCTTCCAACTCTTTAAGCAGCTAGAACACTGCTTCATATTTAGTTGATAACCACTAAGAATCACGAATAAATTTACAAAAACTATACATGCATGTAAATATATGCATATAAAATAGAAACGTGTGTATATACACATAGATGCATAGGTTTGCCCTTGTGCTTCAAACCTGGCTGTTTATAGAAACATAAGACAGGCAAGTTTTATGGTTAACATAGTTCACATGTCCAGCTTTTCTCTGAAGAAATAATTAAGTTTTCTTGTATCAATTTTTAACAACTTGACAAACTGTAAAGGAGGCTACAAAATACCTGGTCTATAAGGTCGTTAATACTCTAATTCTTCCACTAATGCTGAGAGGAGTGGATGAACACAGCTTCACCAGGCATGATCTTATAAGCTCAACTTTTAAAAAAGAAAAAAAAGAAAAGAAAAATATAGGTAAAAAGTGCTTTCCTTTTAAAGGCTTATTTTGAAAGTCCCCCTTCTCTCTGCCCCACTCGGGAAAATTATGAGTGTAATTCATTTGAGTAGTTGAAATCTCACATGCAGTACAAATGCAGAAAAGTATGAGAAGGAGGAGCAGGAGAAAGAGAGAAACAGGAAGAGAGAGATAAGGAAGAAGAAGAACAAGTAAAAGGAAGAAAAGGAGAACGAGGAAGATGAGGCAGAGGAAGAAAAATTAAAATGTGATGAAATCAGATCAGATGTGTAACTGTTTTGAGACTGAAGCTATTTTCAACCTGCCCAGATGATCTCGAGCTTTGTTTATATTGTTCTTTGTCTGCAAATAGAAAATAACCTATTTCCAGCTATGTATAGTGTTTCCTTACTCAGCTTTTTACTTTGTTTTGCTCAAAAACACCGAAACTCCTGTATTTCCTTTTTGGGATCTTGGGACTTGCAGAAGAGCACCTCCACAGCAAGTTGCAAGTGGAAGGTCCAACCTGAAGCCGTGAAATAAGATCCAAACAGGATTGAGAAAGTGGCCCTCACGACATGCAGACCCTCTTCTCTCATGAGGCTGGACCATGCCTTTTGATCATTTTCTTTCCTGCATCTTTCTCATGTGTTAAGCACCAAGCTCAGCTAGTCAAGTGCTTTTTCATTTAAAATACTAGAGAAGTCTCATGTCTTTACCATTATGTGGCTGCATTTTGCTGCTTTTTCATTACTTACAGTAACAATTGTTTTGTTTTTTGCTCTGCAACGCAGTTTGTGTAACTGTAATAGCCTGATTCACCGACAATCAGCCACATTTTGTGGTCTACTCTAACTGAGGGGGGTCTTCATTTTCATACGATTGGAATTTAAAAGTCTATCTGATGAGGTATAAAAAAATGTATCCATTTTCATGAGGCACAGATAAAAGGGAAGCAGTCATCCCAGGATTTTAGGTTTACTCTGTGACTAAACTGAAACCCTTCATATTAAAGCTTTCAAATTTTACAGTAATGTTTGAGGAGCCACAGAAAATTTGCCAGCTTTCTAAACTGCCAAACTCTACTTCTATGTCCGTTGAATGTAACTAGTGAATTAATTCGAAGCAAGATATCACAGCGACTTACAGCTCCGCCTCATAGATAAGGCACCACAACTTTAATATGCACCGAAAAGAAATTGCTGCAGTAACTTTAAACTTCCCTACCAGGCATCTTTAGCACTATGGAGGCAAGAATGCTACATAAATCTCACAAGTGGTAGAATGAATACATGGCCTGAGTAGATATTATTCACAGTGGAAAGGCAGTCACATATGTGCCCTGAAGAAACATCAGCTAAGTCTTGTTCTGGATTCTCTGACCTGATTTGACTAAATTAATTCAAACAAGGAATTTCTTTCCCTGAGACTCTTCTCTTGTCTCTAGCCCCAAATTAATAAGAAGAATAACAAAGCACATCCACAAACCAAATCTTTCTTTTATTGGAAACATCTTTGCAGACATTTATACACAAGCATTTTGTCTGATTTACAGATAAGAGCATTGCGGCTGTGAAGCGTGTAGTGACTTTGTTACTTGTTTGGCCACGTCCCTGGCTCCTGGTTAACAGGAGCCGACCTGCAGGGCTCCAGGGGGAAGGTGGCTGCTTTGTTCTATTCTCATACAAACATTTCAAAATAACAATGTTGGCCGGGCGCGGTGGCTCACTCCTGTAATCCCAGCACTTTGGGAGGCCAAGGTGAGTGGATCACTGGAGGTCAAGAGATCAAGACCAGCCTGATCAACATGGTGAAACCTCATCCCTACTCAAAATAGAGTAGCAGGGTGTGGTAATGCATGCCTCTAATCCCAGCTACTCGGGAGGTTGAGGCAGGAGAATCACTTGAACCAGGGAGGCGGATGTTGTAGTGAGCTGAGATCATGCCATTGCACTCCATCCTGGGCAACAGAGAGAGACTCTATCTCAAATAAAATAAATAAATAAATAAATAAGTAAATAAATAAAATAAAATAAAATAAAAATAACAATGTTGATCATGTTTCAAATACAGTACAAAATGCCATGCCAATCTCTTTAAAACTGACTTTATATTATACCACCCTTTATATGTGGCAATTTGTAACTTCTAATGGTTGTGAATCTACACACAACACGGTTGGAACTATTATAACCGTTTTAATAAAAATTAATAATTTTTAAATGCCTGATAAAATTATACATATTTATGGCGTACAATATGATGTTTTGATATATGTGTAGACTGTGGAATGGCTACATCAAGTTAATTAACAAATGTTAATTAACATTACCTCACCTTCTTACCATATTTTCTTGTGGTGAGAACATTTAAAATCTACTCTATTAGCCGGGCACAGGGGCTCTCACCTGTAATCCCAGCTCTTTGGGAGGCCGAGGCTGGCAGATCACAAGGTCAGGAGTTCGAGACCAACCTGACCAACATGGTGAAACCCCGTCTCTACTAAAAACACAAAAATTAGTCAGGAGTGGTGGCTGCATGCCTGTAATCCCAGCTACTCAGGAGGCTGAAGCAGGAGAATCGCTTGAACCCGGGAGGCAGAAGTTGTAGTGAGCCAAGATCGTGCCTCTGCACTGCAGCCTGGGCAACGGAGCAAGACTCCATCTCAAAAAAAAAAAAAAAAATCTACTCTATTCACAGTTTTCAAGTATATAGTATATTGTTATTAACTATAGTCACTGTGATGTATAATAAATGTCTTGAACTTATTTCCAGGTTCATTGCATTTTTCACAATAGCCTAGATATAGAATCACCCTAAGTGTCTTTCAGCAGATGAATGGAGAAAGAGAATTTGGTATTTATACCATGGAATAGTCTTCAGCCTTAAAAGAAGGAAATCCTGTCATTTGCAAACACGTGGATAAACCTGAAGGACATTATGTTGTGTGAAGTAAGCCAGGCACAGAAAGACAAACACCACACTATCTCACTTATCTATGGAATCGGAAAAAGTTGAACTCAGAGAAGCAGAGGCTAGAATGGTGGTTTTTTGGAGCTGGGGAGTGGAGGGATTGGGGAGATGTTGGTCAAGGAAACAAAATTTCACAAAGATAAAAATTAGTATCTTATGAGAATACATGGGCACATAGAAGGGTCCAACACACACTCAAGTCTATCAGAGGGTAGAGGGTAGAAGGAAAGACAGGATCAGGAAAAATAACTGTTACCAGGCTTAATACCTAGGTGATGAAATAGTCTGTACAACAAACTCCCATGACACAAGTTTACCTATATAACAAGCCTGCACGTCTCCCCCTGAATTTAAAATAAAAGTCAAAAAAATGATATCTATAGATAAAGTGCCCCTTAAGAGTTCCAATAATATCCATTTAATTGATATTAGTGATTACTGCTGTTTGCTTATGTTTCTGTAGGGCAGAAGTCAGCAAATATTTTCTGTAAATAGCAAGATAGTAAATATTTTAAACTTTGTGGCCATAGAGGTTCTGTCATAACTACTCAGTTTTTCCCATGTAGCATGAAAGCAGCCAGAGACAAGGGTACACAATTGGGTATGGCTGGGTTCCAATAAAACTTTATTTACAAAAATAAAAGGTTGAAAGAATTTAGCTCACAGGCAGTCATTTGCCCAAGCTTGCTCTAGGGAATGGCATTCGTGATGAGACATCAACATCACTCCGAATATTAGCATCAAAATAAATACGGGAAAGTCCAGAGTAGAGACAAGAGAGAACAGTGAGAGGAGTTGGAATAGATACTTTACTGCAAATATACCAGGTCCTTGATTGTTAGGTTCTGTCCAGCCCCAACTTTCTCACTTAAGGGGTGTTCTAAGTAATCATTACAGAGCACAGGCGACACACAGAAAGACCAAGTCAGAAGGACCTTGAAAGTCATTGCATCCACCCCACTGCCCTGCTTTCATACTACTGAGACCTTGAAGTGGTAAATGTCAAGGATGTAAAGAATTTGGAACTGTAATTTCTGGTGCATTACTATTTCTTCTCTATCACCCTGACCCAGGTGGTTTTCGAAGAGTGGTTTTTGTAAAGGTTTTTGGCTTTGTATTAGGAATAAAAAATCTTAGTGGAAGGGTAGAAAGCCTTTGGGGAGGAGGATGCAGTGATTAATCTTGAATATAAGCATGATTTTACCCTTGGGAAGGTGAGAAAATTAGAAAAGCTAACAAATTTAACATATAAATATTCTCATCATGACCCAGTTTTTGTGATAGATGTTTTAGATATCATTTATTTATCATATTGACATATCTGATATTTAAAGGACAAGATGTTCAAAAATTCTAATTGGTTGAATGTTTTCTGCTTTACTTCTTGAATTATGTAATCACTTATTCATCCTGTGCTATATGGATAAACATTTCCAACTAATAAACATTTCTAATGTATCTTTAAAACTAAAAAATTACTTAATTGCTACTAAAACTCTATTTAAAATTTGTTTTCTTTTTAAGCGATTGGCTAGTTTTTAGGTGATTTCAAGTGATTTGTTTTAAGCAATGGTTTTTAAATCATAAATTATAAAAGGTGTCATCTTATTAGCCTCGCAAAATGACTTATACCTTTAGATATTTAATACTGTATTGATTTTTCTGGAGAAGAAACACTGACTCAAAATTAAAATGACGTCTTGAATGACTTCATGGAATTTATTTACATTCCCCAAGTAGAGTTGTGATGCACAACATAATTTATTTATCATGGGTAAGAAAATATAGAGTAAAATACAAAAATAAATTAAACACCTACCATATTCTAAGTTGTAGGATCGTTGCAAGGATTAGATGAGATTATTATATATATAGTCATCATTGTGTCTATTCTCCAGATGAGAAGGCTGGGTTCTGAAGCTAAAGTGACCAATGAAGGCATGTGAATTCGGTGTGGATTTGATTCCAGGCCCACATGAGTGCAAGGACCCTCTCTTTTCTTGATTCTTTTTTTTTTAATATCTGTGTATTATTTCAAATATCTACATAGATGCTTCCATGCTTATTAAGTAGTTTTTACCTAATATTTATTTTTTATTATACTTGAAGTTCTAGGGTACATGTGCACAACGTGCAGGTTTGTTACATATGTATTCATGTGCCATGTTGGTGTGCTGCACCCATTAACTCGTCATTTACATTAGGTATATCTCCTAATGCTATCCCTCCCCCCTCCCCCCACCCCATGACAGGCCCTGGTGTGTGATGTTCCCCTTCCTGTATCCAAGTGTTCTCATTGTTCAATTGCCACCTATGAGTGAGAACATGCAGTGTTTGGTTTTTTGTCCTTGGCGACAGTTTGCTGAGAATGATGGTTTCCAGCTTCATCCATGTCCCTACAAAGGACTATTAGTTGTTCACCTTCGAGGAAATTGCCAAGATTTTAAATTTGCCTTAAGAATTTAAAGAGGTCTCTGAGGCAGTCCCTTCTGTGCTAAAGAATGTATAAGTGCTGCTTGTTGTGTACATTTTTTGCAACCAGTTTATTTTACTAAATCATCCTTAACTCAAGGAAAAAAAGTCCTATTTTTATTAAAGTATTCTGTTAATAGTCTCTATAAAGTGCAATGAATTGCTTATTTTTAATGGTTAATTTTGCTTGAAGCAATTAATATGGTTCAACTTTTTATTCATCTATTTTAGAAGATTTGTGTGACTTTTTTCCAGATACGGTTGACCTTTGAACAAAATGGGGATTGTGGTTCTGACTCCCCATACAGTTGAAAATCTGAATGTAACTTTTGACTCTCCCAAAACTTAACTACTAATAGCCTACTGTTGGTCAGAAGCCTTGTTGATAATAGTCTGTTAACATTTTTTTATTTTATAAGTATGAGGTACTGCATTATTACAATAACATAAGCTAAAACAAAGAAAATATTATTAAGAAAATAAGAAAAAAATATTTTATATTCATTAAGTGAAAGTGGATCATCATAAAGGTCTTCATCCTTGTCATCTTCACATTAAGTAGACTGGGCAGGAGTGGAAAGAGGAGGGCTTGGTCTTGCTGTCTCAGTGGTGGCAGACGTAGAAGAAGATCCACATTACAGTGAACCGTGCAGTTCATAGCCAGGTTGTTCAAGAGTCAACTGTATATTCAATGTTCATTGACCATGTGAAGTCACACATTTCTGAGCTTCTGGGGAAATGGCAGTAGATGATTAGGAGGCAAATGAAGTTTCTGCGTTGATGACTATCCCAGAAGTTTCCTGGAAGAGGTTGTCTATGTTGGTTTTCTCTACAGTTCTCTCCTCAATCAAAGCTTGCGTAGCCGTGGCACACCAAAATGATTGCACAAGATTGTAACTCACATTATAAACAGTAATACACTATAACAGTGAATTTAATGTGTCCAGTCTTAAGATATTTATATTTTGAGTTGGTAAAATCGTACATTTCATGAGACTTGAATGTTTGCTCAATATGGAACCACAGTAGTAACAGCATGACACCACCTACCAAATTATGTAATGATGATTCTCACTATACTTATCTCCATATTTTTAATTACTTCACCATATTTAACTGATCATGCTTTTTCCACAAGACACAAAACAACTAGAAATTAAGTATAAATACCAATTATTTTGGTATTCCTGGAAATAATAAAGTTATTCATGTTGTCCTGACTCTTTGTAACGAAAACCTTAGACAAAATTAGAAAAGCACAGTTTTATTCTGTGTCTACTGTTGCTTCTTTCTATAGCCTTCTTCACATTACTGATGTCCTCTGCCGTCAAGTACCCAAGGCACTATTTTAGCACCCAATACAGGCATGCTATTGATCAAAACTCTCATCCTATAATTTAGACCATGTTTACTTAGAAAGTGATCTATGAAAATAAGGACTAACTTTGTAACAGCTTTTTTCAAACACTTCTGACATAAATGATGCATTGAAAAACACACACTAGAATGATGAGAGCCTGTGGAAGATGCCTTCACCTGGCTGCTTTCCATATTCTATGCATGTGTAGCCATGACCCTTCAGATCTAAGGATGATAGCCCTGAACCATTAGAGCAGCTGCTCTGGTTTTTCAGATACCTTACTCTGATACAAAAGGTTCTGCGAGGTTGACTCAAGGTAGTCCCCAGAGGAGGAGGTGTAGTCCCCTCTGTGTGATGCCAGGTTCAGCCCAAGCCTGAAACCCCTTTGTCCTCCTGGCTGTTCTCCTCCACCTCCTCTTCTGACTGAGTCTTTGACTGGGTGCTTCAACGATTAAGCCTTGCCAATATCTCAGCTTTTCTGCATGTCAGCCTCTCAAGATCTCAGCTCCTTATTCTACGTGCTTTGATTTATTGTTTTAATAAACCACACCAGGAAGAAAGAAAAGTCCAGTTCTGTAACTGTCCTAGAAAGAAATATATTGCATCATGTTCAAAAATCCTCAACCATGTCTGAAGAGAAGCAGTTCACATGCCTTTTAAAATCATTGGTTTATCATTAAATGTGCATGTATGTTTTTAAAACCTAAGGAGGACGATGCAATACAACATTTTGTTAAAAAATAGAATTTGTGGATTCTGATTTTAAAAGATATTTGCTAAACAGTGCCCTGTCCTAAGGTCACCACTGCATATTTATGAAGAGTCAGGAGATTTAAATATAGGCTATAGAGATGAAAGACAGAGAGAGAACTTTCAAGCATATCTTAATTAGGAAGCATTTTTCTATTAGCATATAACTAAACATCCACTTAGCTCTGAACCTCTGGTCCTCACTTTGACAATTAGTGCTGTCATTCTCAGTGACAGGAATTGTGATTTGCTCATTTAAATTTACTTTAAAATATCTAGTGGGTTGATCACTGTTTTCAGTCAATGGTTCCTCACAGAAACTGTCAAATACTCCTCCAACTACTCACTCATGCTTTAAATATTATTTGCTCCCAGTTGTCATCGTGACAAAAGAAGGTTATTTGAGGATTTCTTACATAAGTCTGATTGTACTGGCCCCATTCTGTCCTAAAAAGGTTAAACTTTTTTTTAACACAGTAGGTGTAAATATGATTTGTATATCTTATAGCTAAATGTTAAAATGATTTTGGTGAAGGAATCAGATTAAAATCCTTGTAGAAACCTGTCCTGATAATTCTGAATATTTGCTTCAAACACAAACTAAAAATCTGATTTTTCCGAGTATCAAAAAATTCACTAGCCAGTTTAATTTGTCTTACCTGTTACGTATTTGTTTTCTTAATCATGTTCTCTCTGTACGTATAATTCTAGAAATTCAGAGAGAAATAATACCTACGTGTAATATTAGTTATCTTTAAATTCAATGGCCCTTATATATCTCAGAAAAATTTATTTTCAGATCACATCAAATGAAAGTGTGATGACAGGCTATATCTACCAGAAAACTTAAAATGAATTTATTATTGCATAACATGCATTCATTTAACAAACTTTTGTTAGGTATCAACGTTGCTGAGCAAAGCAGGCAAGATTCTAGCCCTTATGGAACTTACAGTTTCATAATGTAAGGATTCTTTCAGTCAGGGTTGTTATCCTTGCCAGTGAGAGAGACCCAAGTCAACAAACTTAAAAATGAAAGTAGGATGCTTATTGACTTACAACCCAAATTACCATCAGGACAGGGCTGCAGGTAGCTTCAGGGACAACAACAAGGCTCATTAGAGCATCTCCACTTCTCTTATCTCCAACTTTGCATTTATCCTTGTCAGCTTCGTGCACCAGATGGGAAATATATTTCCTTTTTACTTCCAATTCCAAATATCTTGAGGGAAGTCTCTGCTGGCTAAAATTTGATCATGTGCCAAGCCCTGTGCTCAGAGGCCAGTAACTCTGTACTTAGAAAGACATATCACCTAATCATTGATAAATATGTCATTACAAATATGATAATGTACAGGGCATCCTGAACGCTACAGTAGAAGACCGGAACTAATGTGGAACGGAGGGGAAGACTGCTCAAAGGAAATGAAGTTTGAGTTGACATGTGAAGGATGAATAAAAATTAGCTAAGTAGAGAAGTTTGGGAGGCTTTGAAGCCCAAGGCCAACTCCAGCAGAAGGACGAGGAGGGAAGAAGCATGGCAAGTGGGCTGGAGTGATGCAAAGGAGAAGGGAGGGGCAAGGAAGGGATGGCTGAGCAGTAAAGATGAGGCTCCACAGGCGTTCAGGTTCCAGATCCTGCAGGCCTTTGTAGTTACTCCAGAATGGTTTTTATTCTCAGACCAATGGATAACTTATTGTGGCAAGTTGATTTGCACTTCAAAATGATCACCCTGACTGATAATTTGAAATTGGATTGGAGGAGGAAAAAAATGAGATGGAGAAATCAGTTAGGAAGTTATTACAGTAGTCTAAGGGAGAAACTAAGCTTGAACTGGGGAGAAAGCATTAAGGATGTTGCTGCGGATGCTGCACCTGCTAAAACGCACAAGTGAAAAGGATGTGTACAGATTTCTCCATTCCACCCCAGGCCATGGTTTGCGGCCCAACCATGCAGGGTAACCTGGATGTGCCCATCTGCTACTGGCTTCTCTGCGTCCCCATCTGCTTCAGCATAACTCACTCCACAACTACTTGTAAAACACTGATGCAGAAAAGAGTGAGAAAGAAAGAGTTCTTCAGTGAATATTCATCTTTTCATCTTCTTATTTCCAAGTCACTAAAACCAAGAGGCCAAGTTCTTTGTTTTTTTTTTTTTTTTTTGAGACGGAGTCTCGCTCTGTCGCCCAGGCTGGAGTGCAGTGGCGGGATCTCGGCTCACTGCAAGCTCCGCCTCCCGGGTTCACGCCATTCTCCTGCCTCAGCCTCCCAAGTAGCTGGGACTACAGGCGCCCGCCACTACGCCCGGCTAATTTTTTGTATTTTTAGTAGAGACGGGGTTTCGCCGTTTTAGCCGGGATGGTCTCGATCTCCTGACCTCGTGATCCGCCCGCCTCGGCCTCCCAAAGTGTCTTTGTTTTTTAAGTCCAAGTTCTGACTGAATCTCAGTACACCGAAACTGGAAATTCATGACTATCCCAGTGAAGACAGTGCTAGTCTCTGTTCTAGACCTATGTTTGGAGAGGTTTTTAATATTTTGTTTTGTCCAATAGTGTTATACATTATTGTTGTTTATTAAGTAGAGCTTAAGCTAGATTTAAACTATCTCATTTGGGCTCTTATTATGTGAAGGTTTGTGTTGCTGTTGTTGTTATTGTCATTTTAAGGTAACATTTGTTTTCCAAAATATACTTTATTAGGGCTAAAGGCAATATTTCAGCTCATTATTGATCAACTTTTCCCCCCAAAAGTAAATGTATTAATTAGAAACTGATCAAAAATAAAAATGGCGAATTCACATTATCTCAAATAGTGTGTTTCATAGTTTTATTACAAACGAACAAAATCGCAGCAGAAAAGAAATTTAAACCTAATATTATACAAATTCTATACATTATTAACAAGTCTCATAATTGTAATAAAATAAAAGGAAGCCACCCATTCATCAAATGACCCAAACTTTGTTAGTCTAAGTTATAATTATGTCATCCGAATATGATAGCAAGTGACTATTGATAATTACTGGATTATCACCCAAGTCATTTCATGGATATTATTTTATGAATTTCATAATTAGTAACACTGAGAAGATTATAGTTTTTGAAAAAGTATATAATTAAAAATTGATGTGAATTGGCTAACCTCTATAGCCACACCCTTACCAAAAATTATGAAATGCATATAGAGTGAATATGACAAGTTTGAGTATCAATTAGAATTCATTAAAATCTCAACATTTTGTATGAATAACTTCCATAAGACATACAAATATATATAAGTGAGTGTGTGACTAGGTCATTAATTTCAATGTATAGTGTAACAAATAATAAATAATTACTTTAATACTTCAAATAAGGCAAAAGTATAAAAATGCAATTATGCAAGTGTAAACTATAATTATGCAATCCAGAGCCGCATTTGATTAAGTTATTCAAAGTCAAAAATTCAACCGGAAGATTCATATCTATAAAAACTTCACTGAAATTTATTATTAAATCTGCCAAAGTTTTAAGTAAAACTTTTTGATGTAGTCACCAAGTCTAATTATTTTACCACTTACATTTATTTCTCTTATTTTTGTGTTTATATAGGCTAATAAATAGAAACCTAGTTATATCTAAGGAACTTTTTCAAATTCTGCAAAAACAATTCCAATATCTCACAGTATACTGTACTTAAAGACTTATCACTTTGTGTTATAATTATTTGCTTACTTCCTTTTTGGCAGGTAGATATAATTAGAGTGTTACTGTAAATAATTTCTTTTGTAACATAAGTTCGTCTGTAGCATGATTAAGCTATCCTTATGGTTTTACATTTTATTTTAGAACAATAAAAAGAACAATGGCTATTGATGACTCTGGATAGAACCTACTGTGTTTCTGGTCCCTGAACCAAGCAGGAGAGATTGTCTCTGATCTCTTTTGTATTGAGAAAAATATAGACTTAAAAATTGACATGCAAAGTGTAGATAGTACTTTAGCTCAAATACATAGAAAACAGCTGAAGCACAGGTTAAGAATTCACACGTTGATGGTGCTCTACAAAACACAGTATCAATAAAATAGTTGGTAATTTGAAGGTTTATTGCAGATATTAACAGCATGAAATGAACGCACACTCATCTATTAAGAATATAAGTGGTACAGTTGCGCAATGTAAATTGTATAAAAGATCATTATATATGAACATACTTATGGAAGACCTTCAACTTCTGAGGAAAATTCATCTCTACATATAATACTTATAAAAGTTATATTTATTTCATGCCCTTAGTTGAAAATAAAACACATTTTCAAATTTTACATTTTATGCTTTTTACATTATAGCTATAAATATGAGAAATATATTTCTTAAATACCAACTTTACACTGTGACCAATCAGGATATGAAATTTCTTTTGCATAAAACAGACTGGAGATGTTACTTGGCAGTGATAAAATAAAGTTTTGTTGTAGGAGATTTGTAAGAAAAATAGCTAATAAATTACACTGTTTTGTCTAGATTGCTTTTCACTGAGTAGAAATTCACATCCACTTAAAGGAGAGAACGCATCTTGCAAAATTTCATGGAATGAAAATGAAGCCAAAGGAAAATGCAAAACACACGAGGCAGATGTAAATTATTCACCAGGATAAGCAAAATATCCTCAGAGCCTATTAATCAGAAAGTAAACCATAAAGATACTCTTTGAACACACAATTTATATATGTGAAAAATAAGCATGTGCTACTCTACAAAATCAACTACAGTACAAGTGTTCCAAGGAACAGATTGATGGGGTATCAAATAAATGTCAAATCACAAAATATTATGCCGGGGAAAAAATGAGGGAACATAGAAGCCTCCTCTCTGTCAAGTTCATTGACCTGCCCTAGCTGCCTTTGTTCTTTTCCATTTCTCCCTAATCTACTTATTTTTTATTTTTTATTTTTTTCTCTGCCACCAGCTCCGTTACTTGCCTAGTCTCTGGCCATATCGACTGAAAAATGAGATGCTGATTTTTAGCCTCTGTAGGCCCTACTGTCTTGGAAATAAATACAATCCTCAGCCCTTTTATTCTACAAAGTGATTTCTAGCTGTTAGCTGAGCGGCAGGGAGAATGTATAGAAAACATTAGGAAAGTTATATAGACTCAAGAAAACTACAAAGTAGTATTTTTTGTAGTCCTAGGTGTGCAATGAAATTTAAATAGTGCTGTTTTGTTCTTCATCTATAGCCCTTTTCGTAACTTCTTAAATGTGTTCTGGAAGACTTTCTGGTTTGCTTGTTAGTCATTACAATCAAACAATACCAAGTCACTAAAATTATGACATAGATTGGGTGAGTTTGGGTTTGCCACAGGTTCCAAAAAAGATTCTCAGTTTTTAATAATCTGCACGTCATCTTCTGTAAAGGGAGAATTTCCTTATTAATCCAAGAATTATCAGGTCATTCCTGCAAAGTTATTCAGATGCCTGTGCCCAAAGGTTCCAAGGCTGTCAGCCTCTGCAACTCCTTATTTAACATTAACTCATTTTTCAGTGTCCCACTAAGGTTTCCCAGAGCACAATCAACAACTAATAGTTAAAAAGCTGATTCTATGCACACATGATGTTCACATTGTTAACTTATCATTCAAAGCTAGTTATGTCATGGGCCTAAAGAAAACAACCCCAAACTTTCACTCAGTATGTCTTATGCAGACTTTTACTCACTATTCTCAGCAGTTCTGCAAAAATAGAAATCTCCTTTCCAAAGATCACAGCCTGTTCCTTCTCTCACTAACTTTCACTGTCTAGTTATGTGACAGCCTTACTTCTCAATTATTTTGCTTATAAGAGATAACTAAAACAACTTGAATGTGATGACTATCCATGCTTTCTTTTCCATCAAGTCCTCATGCCTGTCTAGTTACTCCACCTGGATATATTTTACTATAGCAGAAACAAAGTCGAGAACAATACCTACCAGGGAAGAAAATGGTAATTCAAAGAAGTTTTGCTGTCTCCCAGCCTCCTTTTTTTCATATTTTTTTTTTTTACTAGAATAGCTTTCTCCAGTTAACTCATTGCACAAATTCGGGATTTTACTTCTAGAAGTTTCCATGAATAGTTAAGAGTCACTCATAGCATGATGGAACAGTTCAGACTGAGGAAATTGTTGGTTCGCTATGGTAGGAGGCAGGGATGGAGGGAGGGAGGGAGGTTTGCCTCAGGAACCATACCTAGCCCAGGGAAGGTAAAAAGGCAAGAGGGTTCTCTTACCAAAACTGGACTTTTTCTTCTAGACTTTCCCAGAACTGCAGTTAACCACCTAGTTCAGTTTTCCCAGAAAGACACCATAAGTGTTATAATTATTATACTAACAGAATTAGTATAATAATTGTGGGATCATCCCAAAATAAGCAACAAGCAAATTTATTTCTCTTCTTAGTTAAGGAAACTGAAGTAGAAATAATAAAATTAAGAGGAAAACAAGAGTTGCAAGAATGTGGCAAGGGCGGTGGGGAGCCCTGTACACTGTTAATAGGAATATAAATTACTACAGCCTTTACAGTAAACAATATGGAGTCATAAAAAATTAAAAATAGAACTACCATATGGTACAGCAATCACACTTCTGGGTATATAGTCAAAGAAACTGACATCAGTATGTTGAAGCTATATCTGCACCCCCATGTTCATCAGCATATTTAAAACAGGCAACTTTTAGAATTAACCTAAGTGTCCATCAACAAATAAACAGATGGAGAAAATGTGGTATATATACACAGTGGAATAATCTTCAGACTTAAAAAGAAGTAAATTATGTCATCTGCAAATACATCGATGAAGCTGGAGATCATCATGTTAGGTGAAATAAGTCCGGCACAGAAAGACAAATACAGCATGATCTCATGTATAAATGGAGTCATAAAAGTGTCAAACTAACAGAATTAGAAAGTAGAATGCTGCATACCAGAGACTGGAGGGAAGGGACAAGGTTTGGGGGAGATGTTACTCAACAGATACAAAATTTCAGTTAGACAATGGGAATAAGTTCAAGAGATTGATTGTATATCATGGTAATTATAGTTAATAAAATGTGTATTTGAAAATTGCTAAGAAAGTGTTCTCATTACCCCCCAAAAATTATGTGAGGTAATGCATATGACAATTAGCTTTATTTATCCATTCTACAATGTAAACATATTAAAACACAATGTTGTATACCACAAATATATATGTTTATTTGTCAAAACGTTCTTAAAGAAAGGAAAAAGAAAATGTATTCTGTTATAAAAAATAACTCAGCAAACAAATGAGTAAAAACATTTATATTTAACAGAGGAAAGAGAAAGTTCAAGGCAATTCTACCTACATAGGTTATTATGACAGGATTGAAAATAAAAATCCATATATTTTTTATTAAATATTAAGTATTTTAAAAAAGAAATAGGTTTTCTAAAATTTTAAATTCATAAGAAAAATATTGATTTCCAGCCTCTCCCTGCCCTGGTGGGCCTTAAACTTTTACAGGCCAAATAAATATATATATATTTTTAGAGTAAGCAGGGTTGACTTTTCACAGAGAGACCTAACTAGTTTATTATCAAGAGACATATTTCAAAGTCCAGAGAATATAAAACATATTCAGACCCAGTTTAGCCTTACTCCAGAGTTGAGCTACTTCTCACCTTCTAGATGTTTATCAAAGAAGTGTTTAGCTTCATGATTTAAAATTCAATAAAAACTTGCAATACAAGATTCCGGTTGATGTTGTTTGGCTATGTCCCCACCCGAATCTCATATTGAATTGTAGTACCCATAATCTCCACATGTTGTGGGAGGGACCCAGTGGGAGGTAATCAGGGATTTCCTCCACGCTATTCGCATGATAGTAAGTTCTCATGAGATCTGATGGTTTTATAAGGGGCTTCCCCCTTCGCTCTGCTCTCATTCTTCTTCTTGCCACCACGTGAAGAAGGACATGCTTGTTTCCCTTTCCACCATGATTATAAGTTCCCTGATTCCTTCCTAGCCCTGTGGAAGTGTGAGTCAATTAAACTTCTTTCCTTTACAAATTAGCAGTGGGAGAACGAACTAATACACTGATATGCTAAAAAAAAAAAAAAAAAAAAAAGTTTGGGGCCGGGTATAGGTGCTCACACCTATAGTCCCTGCACTCTGCACTTTGGAAGGCTAAGGCAGGCGGATCACTTGAGCCCAGGAGTTCAAGACCATCCTGGGCAACATGGTGAAACGCTCTCCACAAAAAATGCAAAAATTAGTCAGGTGTGGTGGCGTGTGCCTGAAGTCCCAGCTACCGGGGAGGCTGAGGTGGGAGAATCGCTTGAGCCCAAGAATTTGAGGCTGCAGTGAAGCAAGATCACACCACTGCACTCCAGCCTGTACAACAGAGCAAGACCATGTCAAAAATAAATAAATAAATAAAAGCCTGTCAAATTTTGGTATACAAAATTAATATTGACATAGTTCTACATAAAATATCTTAACTATTCCAATCTGCCCTCAAATTTTGTTCTTTCTCTTTTGGGGCTTGTATAACAATGGATTATTCCTACTTATATACTGTCATGTCTAAAGTATTGTAAACTGGTATGGGTATAAATTTGGAGGGGTGGGTATTTCCAGATATTATGAAAAACTTCATTTCAAAATCACTTAAACTATTGGAAACATAAGGAGTAGAGATCATTGGAAAAACAAATAAGTCTAACTCCACAGGTCAGTCATAAAAACTCCTTCCTCATCATCTTCCATGGTAACTTTCACAAGTAATATCTGCAGCTTTCATTTGAACCTGACTCATTGTGTGGCCCTGTTAGGTTAATTGAACTTAATGTACAAATTCCTATAAATTAAAATAACAAATAACCCTTTGAATGACATCTAGGCAGGAGAAATGACAGGCAATCAACAATAGCCTCCTGAATGGCATGTAACTACAGCATGTGAAATGACCAAGGATCATTGCTGTCATGAGCAAATGTGGTAAATGTGGTCTCCGGGAAATGTATTTATGTAAATCTGCAAACCAATCTACTCACAAGGAGCAGAAAAGTCAAGGCATTTACCATTATATGTGGAAGTAGACATGTCAATCAAGAGAAAATGGACCCAGAATCAGTTTACAATGTTATTAAAGCCACTGGGTCTAAAATTTTCAGATAGCATAAAGCCTCTACAGTGAACTACAACTAGTAGCCCATCTCTTCATTCTAGTTGGAAAGTAAAATAAGGGAGGTCAAATACAGTTTAAAGGCAAGATTATTGGAAGTCCATTATAAATTGTGAGAAAAAATGTACTGCATTAATCAAAGGATGCCATAATGTATAAGCTTCTAAAAAGTAAATTGCTATGCTTCTCAGATAAGAATTAGAAAATTTATCTTCTTATTTATGAATGTATCAAAGGAATATTTTACAAGTTAAGTATTATTGTTATCTCTCTAAGCAAATAAAAACCTTTTTTCTTTGTTTCAGTTACCTAATATATATTTAAAAAATAAAATATTTAGCATGCTAGTACTGATCTAAGAGGAAAGGTCTACATTTTGCAGGATATTTATATACATATATATACACATATATATATGTATATAAATATTCTCCAAAACTAACAGAACCCCAATAAAGGAATAATTTCCAAACTTTAGCAAAATGTTTGTGTAATAATAATGCGACTTTTAATTCTGCAGCATTGCTATCAGCATATTAGTTCCACAAAACATTTTAACTGACTTCATTGTTGACACAGAAAAAAATGTTCATTTTTTAATAATTGCCAAATCAAGTAAACTCTAATTGCAATCTACTGTATCTTTGATAATGCTTTATAATTCTAACCTAGAATTAATAATTTAGTAACAGTAATTGAAATAATAAAATAAAAACCATAAGATTCGTTTAAAAATACAATAGATGCTGTGTTTTCTTGCTTAATATCTTATTTTAAAATATCATATGATTAAATTTAGAACTTTTATGAAACACTAGAAAAATGAAGTATGCAAGTTAGGAAAGTTGTTGAAATGTTGTGAGTAAAATTATACATTTATTTCTGAAAGGAAAAGAACACATTTATGAAATATATTTTGTAAATTCTTAACAAAACCTAGAAATTAACTAAACACTATTTTCCCCAGAAAACTGAGCAGTAGAAATATTATTTAATACATGCTGTAGTATATTTTAAGAAATGATCTATCATGTGTCAGGGCAGGGATGAAGGGGAAAAAGTATGATAATTGAAGATATTGAGCATTTATGCTGTGCCAAGAACATTCGGGAATGTTAACTTATCTGAAATTTGTGACAGTACAGTAAGTGATAATCTCCAATTTACAGAATGATGCAACTTAAAATCTTAGTGGTCCCTAAATCTGCCTTTCTGAGATACTCATTTTTGCCTTTGCTTATAGGTGAAACTACATACCTGTCCATCTAATCTCTCTCTCTCTCTCTCTCTCTCTCTCTCCTCTATCTATCTATCTATCTATCTATCTATCTATCTATCTATCTATCATCTGTCTATCTAGATCATCATTTCATTTTACTTTATATTCTGCTCCTACGTGGAATTCCTAGTTGTGTTGCTATTTGTGAACTTGTCATTGTAGTTATTTACATCGAATGCACTTTTTAACTGTCTTGGTATTTACTGGCATTAATCTAAGGTGATTTAGAATATTAGTGCTGAAGGTAAGCACATGATTTGTTCAATTCATTTCCCATAGCAATAGTTTTAAACTGTGATCTGGAACTATTTAGTGCCTATTTCTAAGGATGAGGAATACTGGGAGAGGAGGGCTCACCTACCCCCATCCTGAATAGGGATGCAACAAAAAAAACTATTTAGCACTATTATGTGTTGAGCATGTAATGTGTACGCAGTACTAACTGTAAACTACCGCTTATTTGAAATCAAGAATAATAAAATGGCTCCCCTTCCCTCTGCTTCTGGTGAAGTAGTTAAGACTCTGGCATTGGACTCCCTGGGTTTGAATCCCACACCCACCACTTACTAGCTCTGAGCCTCAGATTCCTTAGCTGTTAAATAGAGGTGATAAAAGTTTCTATAAAAGATACCTGCACTCATATGTTTACCGCAGCACTATTCACAATGGCAAAGATATGGAATCCACCTATGTGTCCATCAGTGGATGATGCGATAAAGAAAATGTGGTATATATGTATATAGATCATGAAATATTACTCGGCCATAAGAAAGAAAGAAATAATGTCTTTTGTGGCAACACAGATGGAACTGGAGATCATTATTGAGGTGAACTAGCTCAAAAATATAAAGTCAAATACCACATGCTCTCACTTATGAGTGGTAGCAAAATAATGTGTACACATGATCATCGAGAGTGGAAAAATAGACACTGGAGATGCAAACAGGTGGGAGGGGGTGAGAGATGAGAAATTACCCAGTGGGTACAATGTACGCTGTTCTGGGAATGGTTATACTAAAAGCCCACACTTCACCATTATGCAATATATGCATGAAACAAAACTGTACTTGTACCTCCAAATCTATAAAAAGAAAAAGAAATCAGACATCATAAAATTTGTGTGAAATAACCATACTAATATTAGGTGTATAAAGCACTTAGAACATTTTGTAATACATATAATAAATGATATTTTTATTATTCATGGGGAGATAAGACAAATATAGCAAGTAAACTTTATTTAAATACTCTCAGTTTGCCTCCTTTAACCTCTGTTCACTTAACCTGTCATGAAAGTGTATACAGGCCAAGGTCATAACGAATCTGTAAACAGTAATGAGAAATAAAACATTCTATCCAAATTTCACAGTCTCCAAAAAAGACTCTATATTTATAAAATGTGGAAACTAGTCTTGTGCTCTGGCTTGAGTAATAAAGGATAGACTGAGATTCTTCCTTGCAATCTGATCCAGCTGCTAGCAAACTCTTAGGCCTGTCTTATCTTCCATGTATCTTTTAAGTCTGATATAACATTATTTAAAAACTAGCATTTAGTTACCCACCTCTCCCCTAGCGCTCCTTTGTTTCATGACTATTTCCATAGCAGGTCTCTACTTTTCTTTCCTTTTTTGGATTAGTCAGGTAATCCAGATGCAATTTCAGATAAGCTTATCTACACCTAAATAATGCCCATGGCAATCCACATGGTGTACTAACCCTGGCTCTAAATCTCATTCTTCCAAACACAAATTGCCATGGGTCAGCCAGAATGCTTCATACACATCTATCAACTCCTTTGGATAAAGCGACAACAAGCAGCCTTTGAAAAGATCTGAAGAAAACTAGTTGCTGACTGGCCAACTGTGTCATAGAATACCTGTTAACAATATATTTTTGCTTCTTAGTCAACAAATATTAAATTTATGTTACACTGAATGTACACACATCTTTGAACAAAATATGGAGGCTACATGCAGATATGCTTAAGCTTATGCCTCTTTTAAATTACCCTATCTTTAAATGATTATATTTAATAAATTTTTATGTATTCACCATCCAGAAAAAAAGAAACATTTTCTATAAGGCTAACCAGGAAAAAAAAAATGATTAAATGGCATTGCCTGCCAGCCACATCTATGAAGACATTCCAGAGAATTAAGCAAGTATCGAGAGATAACAAACTAAACAAATGAGGACCCAACAGGAGGCTTTCAGCTCCAGTGGAGGATCTACCCATCCTATAGTAACTTGAGTTAGGGAGGCTCCATTAGAGAATTCCCAAAGGAATTAGATAGGCTGTTTCAGGTCTATATCAGCAAAGCAGGGATAAAATGGTGTAAAGGTGAACCATAATTCATCCCCACTGATTGGTCCTATTAACCTCACAATGCAAGACACCATCATGGCCACATTAAGTTGCATTATCAAGGTCTCTACTGCCAAAGAAAAATTTCCCGAAACTAGTATAAATGTCACTGCCAGGTGGATTTATTTATTTAGCAACTCTTAGCTGGAATGAGGCATCTATTATGTCATACCTAATACACTTTCAGGGTGAAAACTGTGAATATGCCATTATGTTTCCAGGTGGGAAGAATATGAAAGAACTTTGTCACTGGAAAAACACTTCAGTAGAAAAATTTCTAAGCACCTGAGTAGAGTCTTCTCAGTACAGATGCTGTTAGCCTAAGTATTTGACATAAACCATTCTGTGGAAAAATACTAACAATGTATGCACGTTATCAGTTAGAAGATAATAGAAGCGCAAAAAGCACTATTTTCTTCATTTCATTGATGCTCTGTCATTCGGAGGCTGTGAAGATGATCCCACAGACTCATTTGCTGTCATTGGTCTGGGTACCACAGTTGTCAGTAGCACTGGATTCTTCTTTCCCCTTTTCTTTAACTAAATCTCAAATATTTTGCAAAACTCTGAGTGCAAATGATTACTCAGCAGTCACTTTCTTTCAACGGAAGATTTGAAGATGATTGGAAATACTAGCCTGAGGTCATTTTCTAAGAGTCTTTATATGAAGGCACAATTAGTCTTTCCCACATCTCAACGCTTCCCAAACTCATTCCTTCTTCAGTCGATAGTGTCGTTACCTCAAACCATGTTTTTGTGGGAATGTTAAGAAACTGTTCCAAAATCAGGGAGAAAAGCAGAAGAAAAAATATATTCTTGTGTGATGCTTAGGGTTTTACTAGGAAAGAGGAATATTGAAAGAAGGTTGCAGTTACCAGAATGAGCATTTAGTATTATCCAGTGTCACATAAATTCCGAATATTTTCTCCAACATCTGAAATTTCCACTTTCTTTCTCTGTGCTTTCAACCGAAAAAGAGAAATTTTATCTGAAGGAGAAATATGAATTCTGATTTGGTCAAACGTTTAGAGGATTATTTGTAATTAATTTTGATTCATCCTTCTTTATCCTTTACATCATTATAATGCACATTCCAATTTTGGGTTTTGTTTGATTTTTTATTTGTTTGTGAAACATCTCTACTTTCTGATACTTCTCAATGATATTACATCATTGATCATTATGAAGATAATATTACAGAAATCATAAAATTTATTAATGTCATAAGTCATTGGCATGTATTATTTCTCAAAAATACCATGAAATATTTATAATTATTATTAATGACATTTAAAAGTTGGGAAATTGAAGCTTAAGGCATACACCAATCTCCAAGGTGGACCTTAACCAAAGTACTAAATTCTAGGTTATTCTAACATACCTGCACACAAGCATTTAACCATTATCATGTAAATACATATGATTTCTTAATACTACTCACCAAAATTTATTAAAAGCAATTAAATTGGTATGAATTTCTTTTTTCTTTAACTTTTATTTTAAGTTCGGGGGTACAAGTGCAGGTTTGTTATGTAAACTTGTTTCATGGGGTTTTGTTGTACAGCTTGTTTCATTACCCAGGTATTAAGCCTAGTACACGTTCATTATTTTTTCTGATCCTCTCTTCCTTCTACCCTCTATCCTCCAAAAAGTCCCAGTGTGTGTTGTTCTCCTGTATGTGTCCATGGGTTCTAATCATTTAGCCAACAACAACAACAACAACAACAACAAAAACCGTGTTCTTTGCAGGGAAATAGATGGAGCTGGAAGCCATGATCTGTAGCAAACTAATGCGGGAACAGAAAACCAAATACCACAGGTATGTATTTTGTTGAAGTGAATTGATAGTCATTTGAACCTTTGACTAGAAATTAGAATTAGCTTAGATTTATGCTTAATGTATAAGATCAAAGTTGGGGCTGTAGAAAAGAAGTTACATCCTTAAAAATATATTTGACTTCCATTTAATAAGACATACTGAACATAAATTATTTCTCCCTCTGGCAATCTCATAAAACTATAATAAGAATAATATAAACCCACAAAAAACACACAGGGGAGGCTATAGTATGTAAGATATGAGGAGAGATGTTTTGAAAGATAAAAAGCAGATGGTTGGGTTGTAGAAAAGCTCACATCATCTAAGTGCTGACGATGCTCCAGCACAAAAAGCAAGGCTTTCTTCCAACAGAATCACAGTAGGCTGCTTTGTTTATTGGTTACTCACCCCAGATCATGCTTCTCAGCCACTTCGTCCCAGGATCAATCAAGAAGCAGGCATCACATTTACTTGTCATGTCCTTTTAACTATAAAACATCCCCAGCCTATTTTATATATATAAAATATATAATAAATATATATACTAAATATATAATATAATATATATTTACGATATATAATAATATATATATTTTTTAGACAGAGTCTCACTATGTTGCCAGGCTGGAGTGCAGTGGCGCGATCTCGGCTCACTGTAATCTCTGCCTGCCAGGTTCAAGCAATTCTCCTGCCTCAGCCTCCTGAGTAGCTGGGACTACAGGCACGTGCCACCGTGTCCGGCTAATTTTTGTATTTTTAGTAGAGATGGGGTTTCACCATGTTGGCCAGGATGGTCTCAATCTCTTGACCCCTTGATCCGCCCACCTCGGCCTCCCAAAGTGCTGGGATTACAGGCGCGAGCCACCACACCCAGCTAAAATACGTATTATAATATGTATAATAATATAATAATATATATTAGTTTATTTCATGAATAGCACACTTGAAGAGTTTAAGTGAGTCGCTTTGTAGAATTTGCCACAATCTAGACTTATATATATATTTATTTCATGAAAAAATATATATATTTTTATTTCATGAAAAAAATATATATTTTTATTTCATGAAAATATATGTATTTTATTACATGAAAGAATATATATATATAGTGTGTATATATATACATATATTTTAATTTCATGAGTGACATACTTGAAGAGTTTAAGCAGGTTGCTTTGTAGAATTGGCCACAATCTGAACTTGTCTGATTTTTTCCTCCTGATTAGATTCGGTTTATGTTGTGACACTTTGCAGTCGTCAATGGGTCTCATCCTACAGTCCATCATGTCCATATGTTCCATTAGTGGTGATACTAAGTTTGATCACCCAGTTAATGTGGCACCTAGTTTCTAATGCCTTGTACTATTTGTGTATTTACTAAAAGTAAAATATTTACTTTTTTAATTACTAAAAGTAAATTTACAAATATTTACAAAGTAATATTTACTTTTGTATTTACATATTTACGAAGAGCAAAATATTTACTTTTTTAATTACTAGAAGTAAATTTAAAAATATTAACAAAGTAATATTGCACAATTACTTTTGGAATATTTACTAAAAGTAAAATATTACTTTTTAATTACTAAAAATTATTAGGCAAGTTTAGGGTGAGACCAGAATACAATATGAAAGGCAGAGACCAAAACTAAAGAAATACGGGGCTGGGCTCTATGGCTCACATCTGTAATCGTAGCACTTTGGGAGGCCAAGGTGGGAGGATCACCTGAGGTCAGGAGTTTGAGATCAGCCTGGCCAACATGGTGGAATCCTGTCTCTACTAAAAATACAAATTTAGCTGGGCGTGGTAGTGGGGACCTGTAATCCCAGCTACTCGGCAAACTGAGGCAGGAAGAACTGCTAGAACCCGGAAGGCAGAGCTTGCAGTGAGCTGAGATCTTGCCACTGCACTCCAGCCTGAGTGACAGAGTAAGACTCTGTCTCAAAAAAAAAAAAAAAGAAAAAAGAAAAGAAAAAAGAAAAAAAGAAATATGGCTCAGAGAAAAGACAATGCAGGGATGATAAAAATGTTACATGTATAAAAATAGAACAGCTGCTATAGAAAAAGGAGGGAAAGAAAACAAACAAGAAAAAGCTCTTATTTTAAAATAAAAGCTATACAATTTAAAATTAAAAATAAAAGTTGATATGAATTGGACAAAATTTGAGGAAAATTTCCAGAAAGAATAACAAAAAGACAAAGACAGAAAAAAGGATAGAAAAGATAGTAGGAAAAAGTAATTCTAGGAATTACAAAAAGAATTAAGACAATGGTAGAGATAAGAAGAAGAAAAATTAATAAAATTTTCCAGAACTTAAGAACATCAGTTTTCAGTTTTGAAGCAAAACTAAAACACAGATGTCCTCTTTAGGACAGTCCTCTTTAGGTTTATATAGGGAATAAAATTGTGTGTGTGTGTGTGTGTGTGTGTGTGTGTGACTATTTCCTACAATTTGCTCCATAATAAAAATAATGTTGTGCCTGATTTTTGCTATATTGATGTCTGAAAATAAGTCAAGCCTTTTGCGAATATAATAATCACGTGACAAAGACACTGTTATTTCACCACAGATAGGATGAGTAAACTTAGAAATTTTATAGTTTTTTTGTTTTGTTTTGGCCTTTCAACACTTGTGCTATTAATTTGTTTGGAAAGCCAGTTCTTCTGAAGTCAGGATCCCCTGTATGCTATGTGACTTTTCTTTCCTCTCTAGATGCTTGTCTCTGCATCTTCTTCTGACAACAGATTGAAAGGAGCCACAGCAAGATCTACAATCAAGCCAGGCACAGAAAGACAAACATCACACATTCTTGCTTATTTGTGAGATCTAAAAATCAAAACAATTGAACCCATGGACATAGAGAGTAGAAGGAAGGTTACCAGATGCTGAAAAGGGTAGTGGGGGGCTGGTGAGGAGTTAGAGATGGTTAACAGGTACAAAAAAATAATAGGAAGAATGAATAAGACCTACTATTTGATAGCACAATAGGGTGACTATACTCAATAATAGCCTAAATGTACATTTTTAAATAACTTACAGAGTGTGATTGGGTTGTTTGTAACTCAAAGGATAAATGCCTGAGGGGATGGATCCCCCATTCCCCATGATGTGCTTATCCACATTGCATGCCTGCATCAAAATATCTCATGTACCCCTGCATCAAAATATCTCATGTACCCCATAAATATATACACCTACTATATACCCACAAATATTATTTTTTTAAAGATAGAATCTCACTCTGTCACCCAGGCTGGAGTACAGTGGCACAGTCATGGCTCGCTGCAGCCTCAACCTCCCGGGCTCAGGTGATCCTCCCACCTCATACTCCCTTGTAGCTGGAACTACAGGCATGCACCACCATGCCTAGCTAATTTTTTGCATTTCTTTTTGTAGAAACAGGGTTTTGCCATGTTGCCCAGGCTGGTCTCAAACTCCTGGGCTCAAGGGATCCTCCTGCCTCAGCGTCTCAAAGTGCGAGGATTACCAACGTGAGACCTCATGCCCGGCCAAAAGCATTCCCGAGAAGAAAAAATATAAAATAAATGTTAAAAATTAAAAAAAAAATAAAAAGAAACTAAAACATATCAAGAGAAGATACCAAAAGCTTTTAGAAAATTCAAATAAAGAATACACACACACACACACACACTCATGCACACACATGATATAAAAAAATCAGAACTCAGAATAGGTCATCTTAAAAATAAGATGACAGAAAACTGTAAAATAAATACCTTTAGCATCCTGAAGAAAAATTATTTTTCCCTAAATGTCTAGATTTATCGAGAGGAAAGGTAAACTAAAGGAATTCTTTGACATACAAGTCTCAGAATTTTGTCTCCTGGGTGCACCCTTTCTTAGGAAGCTGGTGGAGGCTCCTGCCTCAGCCCAGGAGGTTGAGGCCTCATTTCTCCACCAAAATGAGGAATAAAACAGCCAGAAACATAGATGCCAAAGAACAAGGTGGAAAAGAAGGTGCACAGCCTGATGGAAATATTAAGTCCCATCTACTATGCAGTAGGGTTTGGGCACAACCAGTCTATTTTTGAACACATGAGCTAAGTCTCAAGGAATCATCTCTTTATGAAATAAGAAAGCAAGAGTAAACATATTACTTCATGAAACTGACCATTTGTCCTACCAAAATGAGAAAGTACTAGGAAGACTGGCATCCTCTTCCAAGGTCTACCCATCCGGAAGAAGTAGAGAAGAAACAAATGAAAGGGAATAATGAATACATAAACTGAGACACCTCTAGGGCTGAAGGGGAGTAGGCTGTTCTAAGCTTGTTTCTGTGAGTCACCTGGGGCAGGAGGCAGCTGACAAGGATCTTGAATGTCTGCTCTTGTTCTCTCTGGTGGTTTTGGGTTGAATAGTTTCTGCTCTAACTATGACCTCCAGTGCAGGTGCTCTGGAAGTTAAATCCAGAAAAGTTAAAGCCCAAAAGCCCCAGACCTCACTTGGAAAGTAAGAAAAACACATGGGCATTATTCACTTCTCATCTTCCTCAAAGATCAAGGGCTGGTAAATTACAGCTTCAAAGATGTTTTCCTCAAATTCTGTTTTCCTAAACGAGGCTTGACTTGGGAGTGCTTTTTATAGGGTAGGGGTGGGGACTGTGATTTGGGGTTTGTTTTGGGTGAGAGTGTCTTTGGCTTCTCTATTTTAGGGGCATTCTCCCTTCACTTGGTGAGTTCTTGAAAGCAAACAAGAACTTGAGTCCAGTCTTCCCTCTATCTCAAACCACAACCTTAAAGGAAAATGTCAAGGTATTTGAGGGGCACACTATTTCAAAGAGGAAATAACATGCTAGATTACAGATTTCATGAATTATATCATTCTCTGAAGCATTATATGATACTGCTAAAATTTTTGGAAAAGAACTAATGATACAGAGAAAATATAGCCAATATGAAAATGAGGCAATTATTTACAATAAAGACAATAACAAGTTATATGAAACAGAATGTGGACCAGGCACGGTGGCTCACGCCTGTAATCCCAACACTTTGGGAGGCCAAGGTGGGTGGATAACGTGAGATCAGGAGTTCAAGACCAGTCTCCAACATGGTGAAACCCCGTCTCTACTGAAACACCAAAATTAGCCAGGCATGGTGGCAGGCGCCTGTAATCCCAGCTACTCGGGAGGCTGAGGTAGGAGAATCACTTGAGCCCAGGAGGCAGAGGTTTCAGTGAGCCAAGATCATGCCACTGTCCTCCAGCCTGGGCGACAGAGCTAGACTCTGTTTCAAAAAAATAAATTAATACAAATACAAATAAAACATAAAACATAATGTGAAGTTACAGTATTCCAAGTGATTTAATTTTAAACAGTAGCTATGTACCCAAAATAATGTGAGCATTGAACATTGCTTTAATTCAAACTTTTGATATATTCTATAATGGGACAAATGGAGGGGAGGAGGGATGAGCATGGGAGTTTGGGTGTTGGAGGATAGAAAATAAATACATGTATAAAATATACTTATTCAGAAATACTAGTAAATATATTTTATTTATGAATATAAGAGTAAACACCAGAAGAAACAGCTAAGAAAGTGAAAGCTATTGACCCAGGGAGCAGGACAGCAAGTTGTCCTGTTGGGGATAAGGCCAGCAGGGAATGAGGCCAGTAATCTGCTATTTTTCATTATAAGCCTGTTTTAGTACTATCTGATTTTAAACTACTTGTATGTGATATGCTTATGAAAATAAAAATTCAATAATGGAAACACATTGTTTGCCATTTACTACCTAGAAGGTGGTTTACTTTATCTATCCTTTAAAACAGTTGTAATACAATGACAGCTTACTATAGAAACCTCATCCAGGGAAGGATAGAGTTAACAACCCATTACTGTAAGCATTTTAAAACATATATCTTTGCAACGGAATGAAAACTATTTCAACTCTGATATTATGAGAAAGCAGCTTCTCTGAAACCCCAAGGGATCAGTAATCAGTCAATCTCCAGCCATTTGGTTCTCCAGTGAGGAGACAGCAGAAAAGCAAGAGTATCCCTAATTATAAATGGAATTTAGGTGAGAAGATCAAATAAATCTCATCCAAATTCAAGTACAAGAGAGATTACTTGGCTGGACTTTAAATTATCTTTTGTTTTGTTTCATATTTTGAAATGGTTTGCACTTAATCATGAGGCATGACGTGAATTAACTATTCTTAGCTGAATTATAAACAAACATTCATATATGTCACTTGATTGGGATGTGTGGGTATTCTTTGCATTTTGTTTTGTTTTGTTTTTTCAGTTACCAGTTTTAAAACCAAGATAAACCCAAGATTATTCCCCTGGGGCAGCACTACCCATGCCATGGCTCTGTACAGGTGGGAATACTGTAGGGAATTAACTTTAATCCCTAGGCAAGCCCTTTAGGACTTTTCTAGCCCTGGAAGAGCAACAAGATTACAAGCAATAGGAGTTATGAATAATTTATATCAGTAGAATTAAGAAATGTTAGAGCTGGAAGGAAACCTAGTGGTAGAAAAAAAAATGGAATATGGTGATTTCATACAATGGAAGGGTGCAGCACAAATTGGATCAGTGAAAAGTTGAGTTCAGCTTAACATGTATATGCTGCGCCACTTTGATTGACAATGTATAGTCTAGTGACTATACAAATAAGGACTTATTCATTCACCAAATATACTGAAGACCAACTATGTTTCTGGCTTGCTCCAAACACTGATGATAAAATAGTGAACCAGATCATCCCATTTACCGCCCTCAATTATTATTATGCTCAATCAGGCAAATAAACTACTGAAGTGTGATGACATTATGGTAGGGGAAGTAATAATTACATCGAAAAAAGACTAACACAGTCAAGGAGTCAAAAGGCCTTTCAGAAGACAAAAGGCATAGTCCCAACTTTAAACCCAATTCTGTTTCTTCACTGAGGAGTATGTGTGTATGTACATTTTTTTTTAACCATTAGTCTTGGCTGTCTCTTGTAAGAAACATTGTGCTTATTAATAAACTGATCAATTACAAAGTACTCTTTCTCTACATAAGATTACACAATGATACTTGATTCAAAAAGACATGGAGAACAAATACCTTTTGGTTTATTTTCAAATATTTAACTACTAATAAATTTAATACTTACAGAGGATATGGTAGCTCAAAATAAAATCTGAAATTTCATATAATAAATTATAACATACAATTCTATTAATAAGTATTTGTCTTTGATGACTCAGAAAAGGCTAAACTCACAAACTCCTTCAGCATGGTTTTATGATTCTCATTTTATGATATGCTGGATATCTTCACTGCTTGATCAAATGTTTCAAGCTAGGAGTCTTGTGCTCCACTGATCTTCATATGTCAATAAGCAGAAATAATTTCTGTACAACGAAAGTTCTAACAATATGATTGGGTTTAGAATGGCATTAACTTTGCTAATTTTTCTGGGAAGAGGAGCACACAATTCACTTTATGTACCACATTTTGCATTATTTTACTTTTACTTTCTGATATATTTCTTTGGGTATTTTCTAAGATGCTCAGTGAATTTCAGAAATTTCTTTTTTGTTCCTTTCTCCGCAGGAGACTTTGGATGCCCAGAGTCTTGTATGGCCCATCTGTCTAAGCCATCTGAGCATGAGCCAAAGCTCAATATCGAATCAGTGACACTCTTTTACATTACAGCTAACAAACAGGTTGAGGGTAAGATTTTTCCATTCTCTATGAAAAAATTAACCTAATTCATTGATACTTATTATGCTATCAAAAACCTTGCTGAGGCTAACACATAAAAAAGCCAGAGATACTGACTCTAGATATGATAACTCTTCCAAAAAAGGCATCTCCACTTTCATAGTGATAGTTAACATCCAAATGAAAACAAGACTATTGTCCAAATGATATATTGTGCCTTTACTCAAAATGTCTATGGTCAGAATTTATCAAAGGAAATCAAAATTATAAAAACAAAACTAATAAAACAGAAGAAATAAGAAATATACCAAGTTAATTTCCTACCAATTAGCAGTGGGAAATGTGTAAGTGTAAAGTTTGAAACTAGTAATTTGAAAGATCAGATTCACCTAGGTCACACCAAAAAGTGAATCTATATTAAATTATATCCTACAATTTAGAATGTATGGGGTATTTAAAATCATGTAGCTGAATTTTTTATGAAATAAATAATACGTAAATGCAGAAAGGTATCCCAAATTTTCCACCAGATCATTTTCATCAGAAATGCCGTTAAAAACCAGCTACCTGACTCCCATTTTGAGGACCTTTCCAGTATGCCATACTGCTTGTGAAGTGATATACAGTATGTGAAACTGCATGGAAGACCTAATGTTAAATAGATATTCAAATCCAGTTTATAATTTTTATTAATTGGATTGAAATTGATTGGAAGAGCACATTTTAGCAGTCAAAGCAACACAGAATTAATCAGTCTATGATACTGATGGCTTCCTTAAAATCAGCATGCTTGTGCAGCATATTATTTTTACATTTCAGAATAAAGTACACCAACTTCTCTCACAATCTGTAGCTATTTCACACAGATTCACATTGTTTCCATGATACTAAATTAATCAATGAGTTCAATGAAAATGCCAGCTATGCCAGAAGGCTTTACAGCTATAATGGTATTTCAAAAGGTTGAAAGAGATTTTTGGAGAAAATTATCAGTGAAGGGGAAAATCATATTTTTTAACTAAAAATAATCTCATAGGTTACATTGGGAGTTAATTTTCAAAGGTTTTATGTAGTCGTTTCAAATTCTTCATCTATGGTTTGATATTTTTTAAAAATAATTTTTCTGATTTCATTTGGCTATAGAATACATTTTTCTCGGTTAGTCATAACTCATGGCAGCACCGTTCTAAAAGCATCTAAGTACAGTTCACAGCACTAATGAGGACTGCTAACTTTATTTGTTTAAGCAGATCCTGATATGGAGATTGGATTATCACCTCTGGCTTATTAAGTGAATTATCCTATTTACAGAATTCTATGCATCTCCATGGTCAGGTTGGTGTCAAAATTTTTAAATGTTACTTATCTATTTTATTTGTTAAATTGCTAGATGGAGCTACCTGAAAAGTAATTATATGTACTTTATAAAGTAATTATGCAATTTTATTAATAGTAAGTTTGGTGTAGCCTAATGAACATTGACATAGTTTTCAGAAAACCTCAGAAATTACCTTGTTTTCAAGCAAACTTCTCTATCAAAAATTAGATAAAAATGAAATAGCACAGGAAAACATTCAGCAAATCAATGCTTTCCCCAATTACTCTTCTTCCTGCCTATCATGAAAATTATTTTATTCCTTTCATCTCTTCAAGTAGGTTACCATCTTCCTTTTTCTATGCACTATTCTTTCTTGTTTTTCTGTTCGATTGCACCTGCTTCTGCAATGTTAAGATGCAAACGTCTGGAAGTCTAGGTGACATCTACTTGTTCCCCCATTGCATCTTCTTAGTTCTTGCCTCATATTCTTTCAGTCTACCCTTTATTTCATGCATTACTTTGTCATAAGTTTCCAACAGGTTTAACCTGACAATACCTTGCTCAAGCTTTCCAGAAAAATATCTTGATATTTTCAATAGGCTTTCTTTAATGCTACCAAAACAGCAACCTGAAGAAACTCAACCACAACTCCTTTATTAACAACATTCAAGTTCCAAAGAAGTTATTATCATATGGGGGCAAACCTTAATCAGGGAAGGATGAGAGCTCATGGATAAACGCTGCCTTCTGATTTTCCCTGGGACAAATGGTTCTAAGTCGCAGTCTACAGAGCCCTAGGCAAGATCAAGCCCAGCGGACCAGCAGTAAAAAAATACGATTGTATTTGTGTTTCCCTCCTTCTTTGTCTCTCTAGTCCTTTACTTCTGTCCCTGAGATTTCTTCCCAAAATAAAATGAATCTTATAAGCCCTTATCTTTAGCTCTTCTTTCTGGTACTTTACTCTCTATGTAACTGATATAGGTCTTTGAACTTTTACAAAGAGCTTGTCCTCATAAAACCCCGATGTCTAATCCTTCTCTGTTTATTTGACAACTATTATATTTATGTACCCCCTATAATATTTTAAGCACTGTAAAATATTAACTCATTTAGTTCCCCATAAAAACCTTACAAGGTAGGTACTGTTATTATCACCATTTTACAAATGAAGAAGCAGGCACAAAGAGTTTAAATGACCTCCCCAAGGTCTCATATCTGGAAAGAGGAGACAGAATTCTAAAGTTAGTAGTCTTTCTCTAGGATACATGGTCTCATCCAATTTAAAAAAGAAGTTAATATATTTTTGATTAATATTGTAACTCTACTATGGCAATTCTTCAATAAGATCCTTATAGATTTGTTCTCAAATTTGTGAACAAAAGCCTAATAGATTTGATATTTCCTATGTAGCAATCTCAGGTCAATGATTAAAAAAGCATGTCCCAATGTGCCAAAGTGCATTGAGTCTCTGCTTGTGACATGTTCGCTGATATCTCATGGGCCAAAGAAACATGGTCAAGCCCAGAGTCATTGTGGGAGGTGAGTATATAAGAACGTGCAGGCCGGGCGCGGTGGCTCACGCCTGTAATCCCAGCACTTTGGGAGGCCGAGGCGGGCGGATCACGAGGTCAGGAGATCGAGACCATCCTGGCTAACACGGTGAAACCCTGTCTCTACTAAAAATACAAAAAATTAGCCGGGCGAGGTGGCGGGCGCCTGTAGTCCCAGCTACTCGGGAGGCTGAGGCAGGAGAATGGCGTGAACCCCAGGGGGCGGAGCCTGCAGTGAGCCGAGATTGCGCCACTGCACTCCAGCCTGGGCGACAGCGAGACTCCGTCTCAAAAAAAAAAAAAAAAAAAAAAAAAAAAAAAAAGAACGTGCATAAGAAGCAAGAAATATTTTTTTTCTTTGAAGTTAGTAACATATGTACTTATGTGTAAATACAGTAAGAAATGATACAAACAAAGAATAATTTGTCCCTGTTTCTCAACATGGTATACATAGGTAGAGTAATGGGAAATGCAAAACAAATAACTGAAAAAATATTTTAAAATATTTTGGTACATTTAATACACCAGAAATTTTTTATGATGGTTAAAGATAAGATCAGTTACTATGATGGCCAAGATCTTCAAAACATCTTTGGTAATTGTGCCAAGAATAATGAAGAGACAAAACCAGAAATGCTTTCCATGGTAATTTTGTTCTTCTCTTTTCTAAAAAGACGACATCAGTTACTTTTAGAGAAAAAAAATCACTTCTAGTTTTGAAATTCTTATTTAACCGATCTCCATTACCACATTTTTATTGAAGTCCTTCATAAAAATATGAGATATAACGCTTTTACTAATATTTCAAAATACTCAAATAAAAAAGCACTGCTAAACAGTAATTAAGTGTACTGCATCATTACCTTTCATGGTAGCTATGGGCAATTTGAGTGTATTTTTTGCAGTATACAGGGATATGCTCAGTTAAAATGCAAAATCATTATGAGACTGATTGTTCTCAACATTTCCTAAGCAGAAAATTAATATTTTTTATTTTCATTTAAGAAGTCAGCATTCTCATAAAGCACATTAAGTTCAACATATTCAGCTCTTTTTAAGTTACCTGAAAAGGAAAGAGAATACACTTTCTTGTTCTAGAAAAAATAATTGCAGAAAGTCTGTACATAATTTTAAAACAGCTTACATTTATAACTTCAGGCTCTGTAAGTGTTGATTATTCAGTAGGAAACAAATGCTTAGCTAAATTTGAAAGCTACAAAAAAATTCTGTTATGGAAGTGTCTTTTTTTTTCTTTTACAAAGCTGACTCCTCATTGCACTTTTGAAATTTATTTAAAATCTCAGGACGTGACCCAAATTATCGTCCCACATGCCTATAGAAAGAAGAATCCCAAGTGATCCTAAGCAGATTCCTTTGTCAATCTCTAGGTCAAACAGAGTTGGAGGAGGCAAAGGAGGCTTCTTTGGTGAGAATGTAATGTCCACAAGATGACAAACTGCAATATTGGTTCTCCTAACACAGGAAGAGTGAACAATGGAAGCCCCATTTCTATCTTATAGCAACTTAACATGAGTAGCGTTACCTATTGCCAAATTCCTCAAGGAGTCTGAGAATGGAATAGGGAAGAAGTTGCCATTGGTCAAATACCTAAGATAACAGAGTATTTCTAGAGTCTCATCTTCAGTTCAAGATTTACCCTTTACTTTCTTAAGATTAACTCCTTGACCTTATCTCTGGAATTGGAATTTGACCGCAGATGCACCTTTAGGGTGAGAATGCAAGTAGATGTCCAAAGTCTGTACCCCAATTTCCTCCCTGATAACATCCCTCAAATACATATGCCAAATAAGCCTCTGAAACACACACACAAATTAGTCCCCAGTTAATTGGTCCAAATTACAATTTCACCCTCCTCTCAAACAATTACCTTTACTCTTCACTGAGAAAACATACCCAGGAAAGAGGCACCCATTCTGCAGAAAATCCCAAGGTTCTGGGTACTAAGAGCATTGGTTTAAAAGAGGTGTGTAGAGGCACAGGCTCAAGATAGGCAAGTCTCCTAGGCCCCACACACACTGTGCCTTGTGGGATGCAGGCAAAGGAGAGCCAGAGAAGACCAGAACAATCTCTGCGAAGAGCAGGGCTCATGTCTGTTGCTCTAGTTGTTCAAACCAAGCACAGTAATTCTTGAGTTATTGATAATTCATGATGGTCCTTGTATTTTTATCTCTGTCTCTCTGCTTTCTTGATTTCTCTAAAATGATAGCTTTGGGACCTAAAATGATTACTTTGCTTCAGCAAATGTATAAGTAGTCCCAAAGTCGTCATTTTAGGGAAAACAAGAAAGTTTACTCCTTCATTTGCCATATTTGAGTATTGTGTTTCACATTGTTTAGATGAGTGATATGTTAGAAATAAAAATACACACAATTTTGTTTCCCAGTGCTTGTAACATGTATGCCATCATCTTAAGTCAATGGCTAAGGGTATGGACTCGGATTGCCTTGGTTTAAATAGTGGTTAAATGCTGGCTTCATGATGTATAAATTGGTTGATCTTAAGGAAATTATATACCATTTCTACATCTCAATTTCCTCAGTTCTAACATAACCATAGCAGTATCTACTTCATAGGATTCTTATAAGAATAATATAAGGTAATGCACATAAAGTACTTGAAATAGCTCCAAGCAAAGAGCAAAGTGGATGGTAGGTTTGTTGTCGTCATTGTCATCATCATCATCATCATCACCATCATCATCATCATCGTCATGATCTAAGGCAGTGGTTCTTAACTTTGCTGGCACATTAGAATTAACCTGGGAAGCTCTGCAAAAGGCAACATTTCAAGCCAATTAATCCAGAATTTTGAGAGTGAAACTCAAATATCATTTGTAATCTCACAACCAAGATTACAAAATTCAGTTTCATGGCACTGCACTAACATCTACACCTATTGTTCACCTGTTATTATTTCCTGTATTGCCCTCCATAACATTGTTATAAATATTTATAAAGCACCTACTCTCCAAGCACTGAGCTGGTCTGATGTGGCGATAAGTAAGACATATACAATGCATGCCCTTATAGGGAGAAAGGCAGAAAATTAACAAGGATAACAGATAAGTAAGTGCAGATAAGTATTATGAAATTCCCATTAAGAAAATAAGTAGCATAGTAACATAAGAATTGTGGATGAGGTAGGAGGTACTGAAAGCACAAAGCTTGTTTGAAGTGCAGCATCTCAGGCCCCACGTTGGGCCTATTGAATCAGAATTTGCATGTTATATTACTCATAATCCAACTTCAACAATTAATAACTCATGATGAATGTTTCTTTTATAGCCCCTGCCCTAATTATTACAAGGCAAATCTTAGACATCATATAAGTTTACTCTAAATATATTAGTATATATCATTAAAGATAAAGACTCTTATTCCAGGCTTTTAATTTGAGCAACTGGGTAGACAGAGATAATGTTTACTGAGACAGAGAAGTTGGCAAGATAAAAAGTTGATCAAGTGGCTGTAGAGAGTGGCCGGTAGTGACTGGGAGGGGTCTAGAGTTACTCCTTGGACATAGTATGTTTCAGATTCTCATTAGACAATCCAGTAGAACTGCCAAGCATGCAGTTGGATATATGACCCAAAAGATTAAGGGAGCCATCAGGGTCAGAGATATATTCTTAATAGTCATCAGTATATAGGTGGTACTTAAAGTAAGAGAGCAAATAGAAATTGAAAGGAGCCTAAACCTAGACACTCAGCAGGTAGACGGCAGAAAACAGAAAAGGACCTTGAGGAGAACAAGTAAGCAAGAATGGGAGAAAACGAGAAGCATGTGGAACACTTGGGCTAAGATGGAAAAACTTTTATAGGCGAAAATCCTCCACAGTATTGTATAATTCAAAGTACAAAAGAGAGCACATTGCTCTGTGTTGAATTTGGCAACTGGTGACATCAATAAAAGCAGCTGAAGTGAGGAAGCCAAAATGAAATGGAACTTAGACTCAGTGGAGAGCCTAGAGTTTTTCTGAGTTTCATTACATTGCCAATGTGTGTATGAGACCATTTGTGCTGCTAAAACAAAATACCGGAGGCTGTATATTTTATATAAGAATGGAAATTTATTTTCTCACATTTCTGGAGGCTGAGAAGGCCAAGATCAAGGAACCTGCAGGTTTAATGTCTGGGGAGAACCCAGTCTCTGGTTCTAAGATGATGCTTTGAATGCAGTGGCCTCCAGAGGGGACTAATGCTATATCCTGACATGGTGGAAAAGGCAGAAGGGCAAAAGGGCTTAGCTAGTTCTCTTGAGCCCTAAAATTAGGATTTTAATACTATTCATGAGGGCAGATGGAGCCTTCATGACATAATCACTCCCTAAAGTCCCTACCTCTTAATATTATCAAATTGGGTCTTTGGTTACAACAATAGAGATTTGGATGAGACACATGCATTTATACCGTAACAATGTGTTCAGATAAGTCATGGGGCATGAGAAATATACCAAAGTCTGGGAATTATTTCTTGATTAAAATATAAACTGGAAAAAACAATAACAATACATGCAGATGAAATAACAGAAAATAAAAATAGCCAATATAGAAAACTCTTACAAGAAGTTTTGATAGGTAGAAAGCCAAAAAATGAGGGAAACTGAAAACCCTTATGGTGTAAAGTTTTTTTTAACATTTCTTTTTTTATTTATGTGTTTGCTTTCGATGAGAAATATTATAGCATGTTGTATTCTGTATATTCTGAAGAGAATGATTATTTAGAAGAGAGATGAGCAGTGAAGAAAAAGAACAAAGGTAACGAATAGATTAAATCTGTAAGACTCTAAGAGAGTAAGGAATTCGGAGCACAAGAAGTGCAATTAAACTTAAAAAAAGAAGCTACAATTTTTTTCCCCATTGTATCCAGAGGTAAAAAGCAAAGACTATAGATATGTGTACTAGCAAACTTCTAAATTAGGTTGTGGAGAGATTATGGTGGCTCGCTCTTATAGTTTTGTTTTTACTGAAACATAAGGCAAGCAGCCAACTAAAAGAGTGGGAACCCTATCTTACTGGGGAGAGGTAGCAAGATACCCTACAATGCTGAGTGTCAATTTGGTGGCAGTTATACGCTCATGATTTTAAAGTAAAACCAGTCAACCTGGTTGTGTGACTTTCTTCAGCAAACTTTTTTTCTGTTAGGGTGAAGGCAAAGAGAAGGTGAAGGTTTAACCTATGGGAGATTTTCCCACGTATCTGGCATACAGTGATGAAGGGATAGTTTAAGGGAATTTACATAAGAGTAAGTTATAGGAGATTATAAGAATTTCTCATCAGGAGACCTTGCTTAATATCATTCAGTGTTGTACACTGGGTCACACGATGAAATCGAATCTACATCTACAAAATCAAGTATGTTTAAATAACTGACTTAAATGGGAAAAATATTTATTTCATTGTTTGGTTGCCTTTTTAAAAGCAATCAGAGTTATTCATTAAACATGCCTCAAATCTCACAAAATTTGCCATAAGAAACTATAAACTGTAGTAATAACTAATTATAATTCGGAGAATAGGAACTGTTAGATTCTTTATGCCACCAATCTTTTATTATTCTTTCATCATAGGACCATAAGGCTAGGATTCAATCCAGCCTCATATTAGATGAATGTAATTCACACCGCAAACAGCAAAAGGCACCCACTAATCCCTTCTCTGACAGGACTGGTGCTGAAGCTCAGTGTGTGGTTTTAGCTGGAAGAAGATTATCTGTGATTGTTTGGGTGAGTCTGCTCTGGTCTCCGCATGTCTCTGCAGATGTCACAGAGGTTTATTCTGGCTGGAGTCCATACTCCTGCAATATGACTGGTGACAGTAGTGCAGAGAAAGAGCAAAAGCATTTCTTTTCAACCAGGAAAGTAAAAGCAATGGTTGAAATAATTGTTGAGAGATAGTCTGGTAACAGAGAAGCAATGAACTAGTTAGTAAATGTATTGTTTATTGAAACAGTGAAATGAGGGAAATGACATTGCTTTAAGAAGTTTTGTTTTTGTGAACACAAGTGAAGTTTTAAAAATAAATTTTCCAGTGTATCTTTCAAAGGCAATATGTAATGTGTTTCTTTGTGGTTCTATCAGCAGTTGAAATAATATCTGAATCACACTTTAATATATTTTCTTCAGGGAAATATATAAACTAGCATATGAGAATTTTTAAACTAGCATATCAGCGTAAATATCTGATAATACTTCATCAGATTTTAAACAAATTCTGTAGTTGCACATTCACTTACTTAGTTGTAAATTCCATTTACAAAATCATAAAATTGTTGAAAAGACGCTTAAAATAAACCAAAACCACATATATTCAAGTACTATTTATTTTAATCCGTATGAATGGCATCAACTCACAAATAGATTTTAAAAGATGCCTCTTGTTTGATTATCTTTATAGGCTTTAGAAAAAGCTAGAACACAATATTTAATTTCCCATATCCCCTCTGACTCTGATGAGCAGCCCAGAAGATTTGCTTTCATTGTCAGTGTCAATTAAAAAGGTTCCACTCACATCAGTTACACACTTATTCAGCTACATCAAAGGCCTCCTACTAAGAACAGGCTCTTTCCTTAAATCCTTCCTCACAGCTAAAGTGAATTTTTAATGATAATGTGGCCTCTTGTGAATATCTTTCTAGTCATCCCGTTTTTCTTAGCTTTTGTAGCATATTTATGTAAGTATAAGGATAACTGATCTTTTAACAGCAAGGATATACAACACATTTAGTGAGAAGACATTAAATATTTCTATGACTATCGAGATTGCTAAGATTTGTGAGTGAATTTCTGGTAAAATCTGTGCACTTCATAAATGCTTTAAATTTGGAAGCTCTTTATCATTTGTGATTTTAGATATTTTTAATTAACTTACTTTTGAATTAGAACATTTAAAGCCACTTTTTTTTTCATAATCACATATACAACTTTAAAAGCCAAATTTGATTAAAAACGTAAACAAAAAAACAAAGCCAACCCTAGTTCTGTAACCATTATCTTTTTTGTCTATTTTGCTTCCCAAAGGCAACAACTTCAACTATTTCATATACCTTCCTCTTTCTTGGTTGACACCCCTGTTTAAATGAAATATATCCTTGGACCAGAAAAAGTACATACACACACATTTTGAAAAACTACATGATTGAAAGTTTTAAAACATTCTCAAACCTGTTTAGGAATGTGATTAAAAACTATTTTTCTTCAACTTTTTGAAAGATTTCATCCAGTTACTTCGAATTTTCAGAATGGTGTTTCTGATACAATTCCAGATAACGTGTATATGACCTTTTATTTCTGGAAGCCATTGTGGATCTTCCGTATGTACCCCAATTCTATAAAATTTCTCAATTATGTTTTATGTCTGGAGACTGATGTCTGTCAGTCTTGGGAATATTTTCTCTGTTATATTTATGGCAATTTTTTACCATCATTTTATTTTTTCCTTTATTCTTCCAGGAATCTTAATTCTAGGATTTTGGACGCTTTGAGTTTATACTGCTTCATATACTCCATCCTTTTATCTTTCTGGTGTATTTTATGGGAGATTGCCTCCATTTTTTTCAACATATTTCTAATATTTGTTAAAAAAGAAAATTCTGCTTTCATAAAGACATCAAATCTTCTCTCACTTTGCTTCCTTTGATGCTTTGACCTCATGCCTAAGTGTGTGTGTGTGTGTGTGTGTGTGTGTATGTGTTAAGTTCCTTTTATTTTTCTGTGTATAGTTACTGTCTCTCCTTATATGTCTGAAGGTTTCCTCAAATGCCTGGAGATACTTAGAAGTCTTGTTTCTGGCTTAAGGCGAGGCACCAAATAGCTAAATAGAGACTCTGTGATACTGAAGAGAATCGTGTCCACTTCACGGTTTCATGGTTGTAAACGTTAGTTAGTTACTTAGATGTTTGTGGAAGATCCCCAAATGTCTGCAGTTAAATGTCTTTTCTCCAAGGTGGATCTATTTGCCCTGAGAAGGATTTTTCAATGTCTGCCATGTTTCTGAAGTACAGCGAAGTGGATAATCTTACCATTCAGCATGCTGACTTTCCCTTAATGTTTTAATTTTCTCTACTAGTTTCACCCTTCTTATTATCACATGCCTTTCTCCAGAGCTCCTCACACGATTTTTTCAGGTAATATGTGATCTGTCTCATAGACAGCTGGAAGATGGGTAGTCATCTGAATGAACAAGGTTTGTGGTGAGAACCCAAAGTTCTATTGTCTCTTATACAAACATGAGGGAAAAGAGTTTTTCTGTACCTCCATTGCTTTCCAATTGCCTTCTTTTTGGTGCCTTCTCTCTCTTCGCATCCTTAGCATTTTTCAAATGATCATTTGAGCTGAACTCCTGTGGAGAATCCTAGAGTAGATGTTCCTCAACTCTACTAAGTAAATTACCAACCTTCACTCACTCCTGGTCTTCATTTAGGGTACGTCTAGGTTTATTAACAATAGAGCTTATATTCCTTCTTACTCGCCTCTTACTCGCCTCTTTGAAGTGATCATTTGGGAACATGAAAATAACATTACTTCTTAGAAATTAAAATTGGTTTCAGTTGCTTTTAAAACATGTGGTGAACTTTTCAATAAACTTTTATTTGTTCATGTAAATGGAGGAATGGTAATATAGGTAATCAAATAAATTAAAAAGTAGACAAATCTCAGAGAAATTTTGTATGAAATGGTTCAAGTGTTTTATCTGTCTATCTCTTTTTGGTTTGTTATCTTTTTGTGTCCATTTAAGTGTTAGAAAATCTGCTACTCTGAAAACCATTTATAATACATATAAGCCATTCTATGGCATTGGCTGAAAAGAAATTAGGAATTCGCGAAACTTCTTTAGCATAACTGCATAGGTCGTATTCTACTTCATTAGTTACTCAAGATAAAGATATGGCCAGGGTAAAAATGAGTACTGAGAGCGTTATAAATGGACCTTTAAGTGTGCTTCTTAATTAAGATAGATTTTAACATCTGTTCTTTCCACTCATTCTGTCCCCAACTAATATCCTCTTCATTGTCCTATTTTGTAAATATAGGGTCTTCTTTACAATTACCTTTATTTCTCTCTGACTCCTCTAATTAAAACGATAACATATTTTTAAAAATTTATATATGCAATTTTTTCTTTTTTTTTTTTTGAGATGGAGTTTCACTCTGTCGCCCAGGCTGGAGTGCAGTGGCGCGATCTTGGCTTACTGCAACCTCCCCATCCCAGGTTCAAGCAATTCTCCCGCCTCAGCCTCACGAGTAGCTTGGATTACAGGCATGTGCCACTATGCACAGCTAATTTTTGCATTTTTTTAAAGTAGAGACGGGGTTTCACCATGTTGGCCAGGCTGGTCTCAAACTCCTGACCTCAGAGGGTAATCCGCCCACCTCGGCCTACCACAGTGCTGCGATTACAGCCATGAGCCACCACGCCCAGCTGGCAAAATATTTTTAAATGACACAAAAGAACTAATACTGGCCTTTGGGAGGCCGAGGTGGGCGGATCACAAGGTCAGGAGATCGAGACCATGGTGAAACCCCGTTTCTACTAAAAATACAAAAAAAATAAAAAAATTAGCTGGCGCGGTGGCGGGTACCTGTAGTCCCAGCTACTCGGGAGGCTGAGGCAGGAGAATGGCATGAACCCGGGAGGCGGAGCTTGCAGTGAGCGGAGATCATGCCACTGCACTCCAGCCTGGGCAACAGAGCGAGACTCCATCTCAAAAAAAAAAAAAAAAAAAAACTAATACTGGCATATATTATATTGCAAAATAACTTACATAAGTTTAAAAGGATAGATATGTAAATATACACATGGAACAAGAGAGTTATATTTTAACACTGTATGTTGTTAAAGTAGCAAAAGCCTCATTATTGAGGCTCCTATCACCATTATTTAACATTTTGCAAGGGTAGTCCATAGGCAAAAAAGATGAAATAGCAGATGCACACCAGAAAATGGATGGAGCAGAATTATAAAATTATAATGATAATTATGGTATGATTAGCTATATAGAAAATTGAAGAGGAGAAAAAAATCATTATTACATCTTCTAGAATAATTCATCTTAGATGCTTAATATAAAATTAAAATTTTAAAAATTCTTAGCTATCATATACAAACAACATTTACTATTGCAACATAATTAAGGAAATACAATTTATAGTATAGCTCTATCAAGCTTTTAAATTAACAATAAATTTGATAGATCACAAAGAAATCTTAAAACTTTATTAAGGTACATATAAAAATGGGCTTTTGCACGTTTTGGATAAGGATCCATATTATAAACATAACAAATATAAATCACCAAATTATTCTATAAGTACACACATTTGCCATACAAATAATGGGGAGTTCTTTCATTTGTCTTTGTCTTTATTATTTTGTGGTTTCCTTTGGAACAAGGCACGCTGATATTAAAATTTACATAAAAATTTAGTATTCAAAAGAAAAAAAGATTAATGAGTGGCGACTAGTTCTACCAAATGCTTCAGCATATGTTAAGGCTATATTAATTCACAGTTTGGTGCTGGTGTCTGAATAGACAAACAAATGATACAAAGTCTCGACATCTTGTAAAATGCACACATATTTAATTAATAAATAATAATTTTGACAGTGAAAATCATTAAGGAAAAATGTTTTTTTTTTCCTTTTTCTCTTTTTTGAAAAGGAGTCTCGCTCTGTCCCCCAGGCTGGAGTGCAGCGGCATAATTTCGGCTCACTGCAACCTCCGCATGCTGGGTACAAACGAATCTCTTGCATCAGCCTCCCAAGTAGCTGGGATTACAGGCACATGCTGTCACGCCGGCTAATTTTTTTTTTTTTTTTTTTTTTTTTTTTTAAAGTAGAGATGGGGTTTCACCTATTGGCCAGGCTTGTCTTGAACTCCTGACCTCAAGTGATCCACCTGCCCCGGCCTCCCAAAAAGTGCTGGGATTACAGTCGTAAGCCACCTTGCCCAGCAAGAAAAAACTTTTTTTTTTTAATCATTGGTTTTTATACAACTAGATAACAAATCTGGAAGAAAAACAACAATAAGAACAAAACAAAATCAAAGTAAAGTTAGAACTCTACTTCACTTCTTACTCCAGAATAAATTCCAGATTTAGCAACGATTTAAACATGACAATAAATTAAAAGTACACAAGTCTTTGTTTAGGATAAACTTTTCTAAGCATATCCCAAATCCAGGAACTAACAAAGACACTGCTGATAAAAAGAGTAAATATGAGCCATTTGTGTATGTCAAAATTCAATAAGAAAACTCAAAGATAAACAGTAACTTGTGATAAATGTGATATATTATAAAAATATTATTTTCTTAACAAGATAGGGGCATCAAAAATCAGTAAAAAATAACCAACAGCCAATAAAGAAAATGAGTAAAGCACAGATTACAGATTTTAAAAACTCAAGTAGCTTTTAAACATATGCTCAGTGTTCCACTATACATATGTGAAGGTAAATAATAATTTAATAAATAACTTACTATTTTTCATCATTCAGATGGATAGAAATCAAAAGTCCTTTCTGTTATACATTTTATATAACAAGAACTGTTATACATTTTAACTGAAAACGTAAATTCCTATGACTTATTAGAAGACAATTCTGCAGCATCTATCAAAATAAAGAATGCCCGTATCATAGGTTAAGGGACAAAGAATGCACTTTAATTTTTTAGAACATATCCCATAGATGTACTTGCAAAATGTGTGTGCTTATTTCTTGCAACTTGAATTATTGTACGAAACATCAAAACATTCCTAAATGTCCATCAAAAAGAGAATAACTTCATAATATTATTAGATCCACAAGATGACTTCCTGTGTGAAAGAAAACTAAAATTTAGGTTTCAAAGTTAGGAGACAGACTTCTTGCTGTTTTCCTCTTATGGCCCTTTTAAAACACACATACACACACATACACACACGTAATGCTGGCAAAGGAAAATGATCCAAAGAAAAATGAAGATTTGGAAGTACAATAAAACTACGAATGAGACTGATTCACAAAAATGAATGAAGAGTTATGAGTATATATATATATGTATATATATATATATATATATACATAATGCTTTTATTCCAAATTTTATTTTATAATGTTAAAAAATATATTTCATAGGAAAATACTATGTTTAATTTCAAGCTTTTGACTGGCTGGCTTAATTCAATAACACAAGTTACAGTATTTAAAAGTATGGAAGAATGGCATATCATTTAGGCAAGCATCTATATATATATATATATGTATATAATTTTCTCCACTGAAGAATCAAGTAGTAGTGAATTTGTTACCATACTTCTTGGCAATTACTTAGAATATAACAATTCTTGTTCTAGGTAAATGCAGAGGTGCACAAATAAACAAAACTGGGGATAGGAAATGACTTTGTGAAAACTGAGGACTCACTGGGACACTTATCTGAATGAACCGTGGTGCATCTTACTACATTAGTATCATGTAAGGTTCATACAGCTTATCAAGGTCTGTATCATAAATTAACATTTTATTTTTGACTGGAACAGCAACTCTGAGTAACAAGGGAAGGCTTTATTATGGATGAAGAAACTGATTTTGTATGATTTGATCAGTATCAAAGGGATAGTGACTGGCAGAGCCAGCTCTAAACACTAGACCTTGTGGTACCAAACCATACCATACCACACCGTACCGTACAATACCATACCAATCTGGGATGTTTATCTCATCTGCTAATTCACTGACTTCATTGCATATATTTTCCAGTTATTTATCTTATTTGTTTTATATGCATACATACATATATATGTTTATGTCTGTGTGTGTGAAAATATATATAATACTTCAAGCTAATTAAATCACTTACTCCTTGGAGACATCTATTTATGTTGCTTGCCTGGGATTCTGAATATAAATAGAGCAATAGCTGAAGAGGGATATGTCATCAAGGGAGAAAACACACACATACAAAGGTCAGCAAGGACAGAGGATCAGGTATGCTGAGGAGGGAAAAGGGCATTGGGGATGCAGAGGAGAAAGTGATATCTAATATAGATGTACCTAAGAACTCAAAGCAAGAGAGAATTCAGGGATGAAGTGGAATGTTCAACCTTTGATGAAATGGATTCTTTTCTTACTTCCATGAGAGAAAAGAAGGTAGGCAGAAGAGATGGTAGAGAACACTGGCCAGGGAGTCCTCACTCTGCTTTCTTTAAAAGGCCTGTGCAAGCTAATGTTTAGATGACACAGAATCATAGTTTGTGGAAAATTCATTTTATCTCCTCATATATTGATATTGAAATAGTCATCTAGATGCATATTCATATACATAGTATATAAATTTTTATTAGTACTAAGGAAGAAGATGTAATTAAAATGTCCATTAATTTAAAAATTTTAATGGATTTCTGTGTTAGCAAAGGCAAAAAGGCAATTGAGTTACATACAGAATAGACTGAAAGGAATAGATAACTTAGACATGAAAAATTTGATACAATAAAATTAAAGTCTCTCAAAGGACTCTGTAAAATGTTAAGTCTATACAGAGATGAGGAATGTATGTGCTTGTTTTATCCCCATTATTTGATTGCAAGCATCCTAATAGTAACAAATTTCCTTTCAATCTGTCTTCCATTACACTTTGTTTCATCTACAGTAGTATTATGTACAGCTTTTTAAACTCTTATATTAAAGAAATTGGTTTTTGATATATAAGTACACCAAAGGCTTACATGTTTTTGTTTTATTTTTCTGAATCATGCAGGCATAGAATGAAATGTATAACTGCATTTGCTCTGCCGCTTACAAGATAAGTGAGTAGGTTACTTAACCTAAAATATATTTGATAATAATTACCCCATGGTATTTTTATGAGGATTAAATTAGGCGATGTGTATAAAGCAGGTAGTACAATGTGTGTCAATACAGTACTTTCCATAAATGTGAGCATCCATGATATTAGTCATCAACAATGAATCACCATGGCTAAAGGATGAAATCATGCACTCTCCTTGAAAACTTTGGCAGAGATGAGAATGTTGTTTGTTCATTGGTTCTCATACAATGCTGGAGTTTAACTGATATTTCTCAAGGCAGCTATTTTCATATACTGTCTATTTTGAAATTAACTATGGTCTTTCAAGGAAAGATATGATTGAGAAAACTTATGTAAGATTCTGTTTCATAATTTGACCTGACAAAATGTTGAGGTCTGTCTAAAGATGGATCAGGGGATTATCTATGAAATTTATGTCATTTTCCAAAAGTAAATCTGAGCTGGAAGACTCCAAAATGCCTGTGAAGTACAACTTCTCTTTTCAGAAAAAAAGGGTGTATCTTAGCTCCAAAATGTTTTCCACAATTCTTATATTCAGTGCATGACTGAAATGAAGATCAGTTCGGACTTTAGTCTCTCTGCACATAAATAAATGATGGACAATATCTCCAAGACAGGTGGAGCCCTTGATGGATGGACAAGCTGAATACACAAACACACATCAAAGAACAACTTTGACCACATATCCTAAATCCCTTTGGTCTTCTTGGGCCCATCATCTGATTTCAAAAATACTTTTTGTGCAGGATTTTTTTTTTGAAGTTTGGTGTTTGTAGGTTTATTTCTTATGATTGTTGTCTGAAGAGTAATGTGACACACGGTTTCTTCCCTGCAGATTCAAAGCAATTGACGTGCCTTGTCCGGATAAATGGTTTTTAATAACGTATACTTATTAAAGTATTTAATACTCTAATAACTTATACTTGATTAGAAAAATGTTATTATCAGAAATACATCCCAAAAACTCAAAATGAATTTATAATTCTGGCATTTAAAAAATTCTAGACTAACGGATAAAAAAAATTATTTTAAGAAAAAACTCTCAGGTCTAAATTCTCACTATGTCACAGAATTTTGAGAAAATGATTAAATCTAGTAGAAAACACATTATCACTTTTTCATGCACAAAAATCACCATCAGTATGCAAATATCTATGTGTATATATATCTATACATATCTATCTATATCCATATATACATCCCTCTTTATTTCACCTGAGTCTGACACAGCAAATTATATGATGAGAGGAAAATTGAAGTAAAAATAAGGATACTCCCATTATTATAGACACTATTATTGCCAATACACGTTTTAATGTATAGCATTGATGTAGACCATAAGAATTCTTCCATTTAGTGTGACTGCAATTAGGAATAGTACCACTGGTTTAACTTCAGTTACTTTGCACACTTACTCTCATTTTCACTTCCAGTGGAAGCAGCCCCTTTATTTCTGGCTTATTAAGTTAATAGACATGTTTTCATATCTAATGGCAGATATCAAAAAATATTTGCCCCAGGCTCTTTTGTGAATTTCATTTGACCACGTGATTAATTTAAAGAAAACACAACTGACTCATTGCCATATTATAGTTCACATTTTTCATTTGTGCATAATGAGTTAAATTCTAATATTTTAACTAATCTAAAACATTTGTTTTATAAAATCACAAACCTAGACAAGTAGTTGTAAAACACTGACATAAAAGTCTGTGTGTGTGTCTGTGAATGTTTTGATAAGGTAAGATTCATTTTGTCACTTAGATATGAAAAGTAAAGACACATGTATCTGTCCTTTATGCTTCTCCAGGTAGAAATTTAATTACTATAAGTGTTTTAGTGCTTAGTTCATTGGAGTTTGCCATCCTGGAGAGCATGTGTGAAGAATGAGGGAATGAAAAGGAAAAAGGGAAACCAAAACAAGTTTTATTATTAATTTGGCCACCATTTTGAGGAACAGGGGCTCAATCCTGTGGGCCCTGCTGAGGGTCCTTAGAGAGAGGCAAAGTCTGCAGGATCTGAGCAGAGGTGCTGTGAGGTGACACCTGTATTAAGCCATTTGAACTCTGGGTAGACATGATTATGATAACACACAATGGCTAGAGTAAAAGACATGCATATGAAGTGGTGCATTGGAGGCAGTTGGATAAAAGAAAGAAAACAAACAAAAATTCTGCAAGATACCACATTTACATAATTAGAGTGAAAGTATACAATAAATAATAAGACTGAATAAAAACCATACAGTTTTCTTATGGAATTTAAAAGTTCTCCTGGGATTTTATAGTAAGGGCTTGTAAATTTGACAACCATTTATAAGAAAAAAATTGAAGATTAAAAAACGATTACATTGGGAAGAAATATTTAACAAACACACACATGTAACTTTTGAAATATTGCCACTGCTATTTTTAATCAGATTTGTTAACAGAAGGATTAAACTTCCTCTGAATTGCATGTTCAAAGGTTCCTGTAGTGTATGTGTCTTCCAAAAAGCAGAACACTGTCCTTCATTGTATTGTTCCATACATAAACAGGCTGTGTCTAATTATCTTTGCATTCTGATTAAAAGTTAATAAAGAACTTGGAAAATTCTTTTTTTAAACTAATTGTATATACTTGGTGTTCTCACTAGGAGAATTTATAGTAGTCATACGGAGTCCTTTAACTTATTTTTTTCTCTCTTGAAAACCAATTATATTTGATTCTTATAATTTTAATCATTACAGTTTCCTCCCTTAATTACCACTACATTTTCAGTGAATAAAGTTTATAATTAATACTCATATATTTTTACTTTAAAATGTATACTGCCTCTAAAGCAATTGAAAAAAATAGATAAGTACAGTGAAAAGAATACTAGAGTAGGAGTGAAGAGAACTGCATTCTAAACGAAACTCTGTCAGCAGTGAGTTGCATATACTCTGTAAGTCAGCCTTAGTTCTCCGGGCTTCAAATTGACTGGTCAATAACTAAGTAAATTTTTAGCTCTCTGATCACGCTTTGGAGTGAGGCTGATTGCCTTAATTTTTCAGCTCTGGTAATTAGTGGATTTGCAGTTGGGGGCAAATCACTTAATTCTTCTGAGCCTAAGATCCACTGCCTGTTAATTAAAAATTTAAAAAATAATAATGATTTAAAATTTTGAAAGAATTACTTGAAATAACATATGTAAAACATTTAGCATAGAGTGTGGTTCCTTACAAACGGTATTAGATCTTACTCATGATTCGCCCTTTTCCATCCTTTATCAACCCTGCAAGCAACTTTTTTTCTCTTGTATGATGATCAAAGAATGTCCCTCTTCCATCAAAGGCTGAACCTTCCATTTATTCTTTGAATTCTCTCTTGCTTTGTCCCTTCAAGAAGGTCTACATAGCCAACATTTTCATTATCATTTTCTCTTCGGCATCCCCAGTGGCTCCCTGTTCTCCCTCGACCCAATATTCTTCTCCAGCTGTTTTTCTCTTTTATCACAACACCAAATTCAAAAGAGCTGCCTCCCTGTTCTAAGTCAGCATTCTCTCTCATCCACCCTTGATCCTGTCTGTCAACTTCCTACTTCATGAAAACCCTTCTCAGGGTCATGGACACATCCCACAATGTAATCTAGCAAATATTCTCGTGTCATTTGGTTCAACTCTCCGCAGCATTGACCTCTGATTTTGTCTTAGGACTCTCCCCTATGTCAGCCACCTCTTCCTCGCCACCTCTTCCTCCTGAGTTTCCTCTTATTACTGGGTTACTAATTTTAATTTCTTTTGACAGTTTCATCATTCTACCCAGTCTCTACTGTTAGAGTCACTTAGAGCTCAGTCCTGGGTGTTCTAACAATGATTTCTCTGAAAAATATAATCTGTTCCCATGAACTCAAGTGCCATTTTATGGTGCTTATGCACAACCTTTAACAGTTAAATTATTGATGTAAATAGATTGGAAATACAGAAGTTAGATAGACGATAGAGACAGATTCATAGAACACTAGCTACCACACAGGTAAGTGACTGCCCAGCCTTGAATCCTGGTTCAGCAACATCCTAGCTCCACAATTTTACGGAAGTCATCTAATCTCTCTGTGCTTTAGTTCTATGTCATAAGATTATTAGAAAAAATTAGTACATGTTGATTCCTTAGAAAAATGCCTGGCCTATTATAAGTGCTATGTAAATATTTAATACCATTGCTACTCTCTGGTATAAATAGGTGTTATGTGGGCCAGGCGCGGTGGCTCACACCTGTAATCCCAGCACTTTGGGAGGTCGAGGCAGGCGGATCATGAGGTCAAGAGATCGACACTATCCTGGCCAACATGGTGAAACCCCATCTCTACTAAAAATACAAAAATTAGCTGGGCGTGGTGGCACACGCCTGTAGTCCCAGCTACTTGGGAGGCTGAGGCAGGAGAATCTCTTGAACCCGGGAGGCGGGGGTTACAGTGAGCCGAGATCGTGCCACTGCACTCCAGTCTGGCAACAGAGCGAGACTCCGTCTCAAAAAAAAAAAAAAAAAAAAAAAGTGCTGTGTGAATATTTAATATCATTGCTATTTTTGCTATAATTCAGTTTGTGTCACTCCCCTACCTAAAACCCTTCCTCCACTAGACTTAGAATAGAATTCAGCTTCTTTATTTTTAGCTTACAAGGCCTTACATGACCTGACACCAACTTTCCCTCCATCTGAACTCATACCACCCAGCTTGTTCTAGTCACATGGGTATTTTTGAAGTTCCTCAGATATGAAAACATATTTCTTGCCTCAAGGGATTTTGCACTTAATCACTTGACCCCACTCTGCCATTCACAGGCTGCTCCTTCACACTCTTCGGGATGAAGCGTGTCTTCTTATGAATGAGGTGCTCAATGGCGACTTCATCTGTGGCTGCTTCCCACCTCCCTGACCCCAGGTGCTGTCTACCTTGGACCTCATACCTTACCTGTTTTCCTCCTTGCACTTTTCACAATGTAATAATTTATGTGTGTAGCTTTGTTTTCGTTTTTCTCGTTAGAATGTAAAGCTCAAGAAGTCAGGATTCCAGGCTTTGTTTTCACCGTGTAGTGCATCATACTTAATAGGCACTCAAAACTATTTGTACATTATGAGCAAATAACATATAGTAAAGTAGTTTTTATTTCAAAATAAAGTAAAATTTCCAAAGAGTAAGATCCATAGAAAAAGCACTGTGTTTTAAAATCAGTGAGAGTATTCAAGCAATACACACAAAACCATGCATAAAGAGGAGGCGAGAGTAAAAGTTTTCTGCATGTCTATATATCTATTTATATATTTTTTAATAAATGAAGAGAGGAATGAATACTATTTGTGGTGTTTGTGGAGTACCACTAATAGTCTATGCTTCTAAGTAAAGATATAAAATTCCAGCTCATGATAAAATACAAATCTCACTTGCTTACAAAACTTCAAATATGCAGTACTGCCCAATATTTTGTTTCATGCCTTCATATTTATTTACTGTCTTTTTGAGCTTCCATAACCGACATTTATGTCTTCAATAGGCTAATCGTGACTATTGTATGACACACCTCAGAAGCTTTAGCTTGCCAATCAGATGAAATCTAATTTCCCACTTGAAAATGGATCCTGACCTATAAAGAACCACTGGGAGTAATCTACTCTCCACCAGAGAGGAACATAACCATTCGACACAGAATCAGTCTTCCGAAAGCTGTGGGGTACCATTTAGCAATTTACCTCCTCTGGGGCATTAATTGCTACCCTAGAGCACTGGAAGAGTTAATTTACCTCATACAGTGAACACTTGAATCCTAGAGAAGCATACTTAGTTTAGTTCAAAACAGGATTAAGACAGAAATTGAAAGTAGTTTAAATCATGTACTATGACACATATTCAAGTGAAGAAAATACAGTCCCTTGGTACACGTGGGGGACTGGTTACAGAACCCCCAGGTATGACCAAATCTGCACATACTCAAGCCCAGCAGTCAGCCCTACAAAACACACATTTACAAAAAGTATGCCCTCTGAATATGCAAATTTTGCATCCTGAGAAGATTGTATTTCCAAATGGCATTTAGTCGAAAAATAAGCTGTATGTATGTAGAGCTGCACAGTTCAAACCTGTGGAGTTCATGGGTCAGTCGTACTGTAGTTAAGATGTCATTTTTCTTCCACAGGTATTTCAGGAATTTGTCGTTCTTAAGGGAAATGTCCTTTTCTCTTGCTTTCAAAACCCAGAATTCCTGCTACAAAATATTGACATGTTTGCAATTAACATAGGGTACTAAGCTGTTCTTAAACATCACGATGTTATATGTAATTTCTGATAAATACTAATAGAAGAAAATGAATGCACCTGACAAGTGTATAGTGTCTTGAGTTACCTCAGTATCACTTAAGGCCACGAATTGATGAATCACTGTTTCATGTCAGTGACTGGGGAAATAAGTGCCACTTCAAGGGGATACGTTTGTTATACATCAATTTTCTTGATAGTGAAAAACACCTGGAGAATATCCATTAGTGTCATAATATACCATTATTGCAGTCGAAACACAGTGGTTTTCAAAATTTAAGCCCCAGAATACAGTGGAGCTGCTCCATCTGAACTGGAATCTGGGGATCCAAGACCTGCTCACTTGATATTTGGCCAAATCACCCAAGAGCAGCCTGAGAGGTACCTTTCAGAGCTAAAGGTCTTTAGGGCAAATACAGCTTGCAAACTTTGAATATGGTAACATCCACATAAATTGCTCTCTAAATTCAACAAAATGTAACTCCCTCTATTCTAAACCTTCATAGCACTTGGATTTCGCATGTGATATTCTATACTATTAATAAGTCTGTGTTTTCCACATTTCTATTTTAAACAAGGGTTTATATCTTGTTCATATTTATGTTTCCTTGTGACGTTTTTACACAGTAGTAGTAGATGCTCATTAAATATGAATTAGTTAACTAATCAATTAAAATCTTAGGTCTATCTTTGTGCTCAGATGTAGAACTGATATCATGAAAGGATTATAACCCACTCACTGAAAGTCAAATGTGTCTAGCTGACACCTGAATGAAAAGGAGTTTGCGGGCAAGGAGGCAAGGGAAGTGTACTTCTGTCAAAGGAGAGAGACACTGGAAAGGCTTAACACTGGAAAGAAAATAGAAAATTCAGGCATTCGAAAGTAGGTCAGAATGGCTGGATTTCAGATTGTATCAGGTAGAGAAACAGTGGACCTAAAGCTTACACAGGCTAACAGAATTCTGGTACTGAGGTGTACTTTATTTTATGTTAAGAAGTTTGCATTTTATACTAAGGTAATTTGAACCCCTTAAGCAAAGAGAAGTTTTTTCAGATTTATAAATCAAAGAGATCAGTCAGACCACAATACTTTACTCTGGATTAAAAGGGAAGAATATTAAAGTCACTGAATTTATTTGAGATATCATCACAACTTCTATTGCTGCTGCAAAACTTCACACGCCCACACATGCATGCGCACGCACGCACACACACACATACACACACACATATATTCACATAGAATTCCTTTTACAAAGTCACTTGGGATACTTTTGAATTTAAGCTCATAAAATATGCTATTACATTATAATAAGATTAATATTAACATTATTTATCAGAGCCTATAATTCCAGAATATTTTAGCAAAATAGTGAAATGTTCATAGAGATGTTATGTTTTCCTACAACTCTACCATAAATAAATAAAGCCCTATATCCATAATAACATTGGAGTGAAGAGCAGCGGCAATCAGCCATGGCAATCTGTCAGTGAACAAGGGCTTCCCCTAAGGTAATAAGGGACAATATGCTGTTTCTTCATTAGAATGTTCTGTGGTTACCAAAAATTTCAAGAGTTAGAATGACAGCATAGTGGAGTTAGATAGACTTTAGAGATCGTGGAAGCCAAGTGCCTGATTTCCACAGATGAGATGACTGAAGCCTTAGGAATGAAAGTAACTTGATTCATGTCTTCATATCTATTTCTTGAACACAGAAGAGAAAGTTTTGAAAGCCTTGAGAGGTTTTCCTCAACTTCCCAGACTCATTACATAAAAAATTATATGTATTTCCAAGTGGCATGTCTATGCCTTATGCTTCATTACAATGGCATTGTGCCCAGTCTCACACATTCACTTCTGAAAATTCCTATTCTCTCTAAATTATAGGGTCAACCCTCTGATTTTAGAATTTCTCATGTAGTATAATCAAAATAAATGGGACTATACTTCCTCCTACCATAAAATAGTCTTTCTAATTAAGATGAACCACAGCAAAGAGAAGATAACAGCAGCTGCTTTGCAGACAAGATTTAGGACTAACAGTGAAATCTTTATTGTTGGCATCATCCTAGTAAGGCGATGTATCAAGCCCCTGATTTTCTTCACCTATAGAAACAGAATCCAAGACCTCCTTCCCACTCCAGCCTCATAACCCAGCAAAGGAGGAGGATAAACTACTGGCTTTCTTTCTCATTTGTAGATTCTGTTTCTTAACCTAAAATCATATCAAGCTCAGTTTATTTTAAATTTAGTGATTAGTTGAATCATCATTTTAGACTGCTTTAAGTTGTTGGATTCTTTTGAAATTAGAAAAAGACCACTCTTCAAACTGGTTAACACTCTCTAGAATAATGAATTCTAATCAACAATCTTTAGCTTGCTGTTATTGAAATTCTATACATATTAATACGATCTTTCCTCAACCTTCATAATCCAGCTGGAATATCTTCCTTTGATCTTTCTTTCATTAGTCTCCACAGGTCTGCGTTGAGTGAAAGAAAATTAAGTTTTTAAAGAATGGAAGTAAGTTTTATTTAGAAGTTTTCTTGAGGACTATAGACTAAAGTCTACAGTCCAGGAAAATCTTTTAGACAGGTGTTTCTTCAGACTCTTTTGACATAGGGTTTTACTTTATATCTATATCTGATGCCTACGGATCATAAATCAAGCTGCCCAGGCCAGGCGAGGTGGCTCACGCCTGTAATCCCAGCACTTTGGGAGGCTGAGGAGGGTGGATCACGAGGTCAGGAGATCGAGACCATCCTGGCTAACACGGGGAAACCCCGTCTCTACTAAAAATACAAAAAATTAGCCGGGCATGGTGGCGGGCACCTGTACTCCCAGCTACTCGGGAGGCTGAGGCAGGAGAATGGCGTGAACCCGGCAGGCGGAGCTTGCAGTGAGCCGAGATCATGCCACTGCACTCCAGCCTGGGCAAGCGAGCGAGGCTCCATCTCAAAAAATAAATAAATAAATAAATAAATAAAATTAAATAAATAAATAAATAAATAAAGCTGCCCAGAAAATGGTATGGTGTTTGAGTTTGCAGAACTCTTTAATGTGTGGTTGTATAGTCCTGTGTGTGGCGGGGGGCGGGGTGCATTCTTTTATGTGTATACTTCTTATTTGTTTCCTTGATGAAGACTTTTACCTGGAGATGATTGTTTTTCTTGTTTAAATATTCAGTTAAGTCAAGGGATCAATTTTTGATTCTGATGTTTACATATAGGTAATGGGGGGTTAGTACCTGTAAAATTATATTAAAGTTTGGATGTAACAGTGTATCTTACCTATAAGATATAACATATTATTTATCAGAGCCTATAATTTCAGAATATTTTAGCAAAATAGAGAAATGTTAATAGAGACATTTTGTTTTCCTACAACTCTACCATAAATAAATAAAATCCTATATCCGTATTAACATTTGAATGAACGGCAGCTGGAATTAGCCATGGCAATCTGCCAGTGAACGAGAGCTTCCCCTAAGGTAATGAGGGACAAGAGTATATCTTATCTATAAGATGTAATCTATAAGCTACACTCATATAGATTATATGATAAGATATGATCTTATAGATTATATGATACTGATAGATTATATGATTCATGATTACAGATTATAGAGGCATAATTTTTAATCCTATCAGACATTATTTTATGTTAGAAAAAAGCAATGATTAGGGTCATTTATTTTTTAAGGAATACTGACTCATGCAAGAGACGTAGTGGGGTATGTTTTATTTTGTTTCGACCTCTTTTTTTTTTTTTTTTTTTGGAGCACTGTATGTTGTCACAGGGCCAAGCGCTTTGGGAAATTATGCTGGGAAGCAGAAATGAGCAAAGGTGGCTTCTTATGTTTGCTATTTTGTCCCTTCAATATCATTTCTCTCCCAACCTGAGCCTGAGCATCTGACCTTTAGGCAAACCATGTTCTAAGGAACTCAGCTGTGCTTACATTGAACAAGATGTTATAATAACTTCAGTCATTGCACGTTGGATGCTGTCGTTTTTGCAGAAAGGAAGCTGTGCTTGATGAGATGAGGGAAATACTGGCAAAATTGTTTTCTGTGTAGAAGTTGTAACCATAAGCAGCGACCTGGAGAAAAGTCATTTACAGTGGGCTCCCAGGTTGTCATGCTTAGGAGCTTAAAGGAAAATGGAAAGTAGAATGTTTAAAGAAAGTGCGTGTGTGTGTTTGAAGGGAGGAGGAAAGGTTTGCCAAGATCTAGTAAAGCTGAAAACCATGTGAATCAATATTTTACATGAAACCATGATCCACTTCTCCATCCAAACTCTAGAAAATCTCTAACTGCTCAGTTAGGATGAATTGAATAACATGATAAAACAAAATGGTCACATTTATCCATTTTGCATCATTTTCTTTCTTAATAAGGATTAATCTTACTTCACATTCAAATTGAGGTGAAAGAATTTACTTTGTATTGATGTTCATTAGCTTATTGATTCCACTGTCTTACACTGTCTTGTTCTCATGTCAATGTTTGAGAGAGGATGTTCCTGTAGCTGGAATTGAGAACAGGAAGTACACACCTCCCACACCCCCACATGAAGAAGAACTTATCCACAGGCTATGTTCGGTTAAACCTTGAAGCTATTAATTAATGGGCAATAAGGATATGAAATGGGGAAGTACAATGGCAGGGCCCTGTCAGAAGACCTCTGAAAGGTAAAAAACCAGCATCTTAAAGGTTAGAGTTCAAGACTTTGCATTCTAAATGCAAAGATTGTTAGAATTATAAACACAGGTTAAAAGCCTAGAATCTCTTATTGAAGAACTTTAAACAACAATGTACGGTTTGCGAGTACATCTGATGTCTACAGATAGAATTGTCCAGAAAATGGAATGCTATTTGAGTTTGCAGAACTCTGTAATGTATGGTTGTAAACTCCCGTGTGTGTGTGTGTGTGTGTGTGTGTGTGTGTGTGTGTGTGTATTCGTATGTATACTTCATATATGTTTTCTTGATGAAGACTTCTAGCTGAAGAGGGTTGTTTTTCTTGCTTGATATATTTGGTTAAGTCAGGGGAGAAGCTGTATGTGTAAGAATATGCATACCCCTTATCACTACAGTGTGCAAAGATGAGATCAATGCTTACAAAATGTAGAGTACTTAAGACAAACAATGACAGAATGGAAAAAAAGTATGAAAAGTACCAGTTGGGTCAATAGACATTTCTCTCTTTTAGTCACTCCTATACCCACCAACACATCCAAAATTTAAAACTACTTGAACAAGACAAAAGCAAAAATCATCATAATAAAATGAAATGATATTTCACAAAAGTATTGTGGACTATGTAGATTTATGCACTTATAGTATCTAACTGTATTTAAGTAGGAATTAAGCAGGAAGTAGAACATCCCTGCATTATTTTCTTATGGAATCTCTAACCATCATCTGCATGAGCTTTATAAATTATGGAAGAGACTTATTGTCACAATGCAGGACAAATAGCTCATTACCAGAGGCCATTTTGAAAGATATCCAACACCCATGAGTAACATGATTAACTGATTTTAAATATGCACTGCTGCGACCACAGGGGACTTTATGGACTTGAATGAAATAAAGCCTAGAAGGTTGCTCCTGTGTTCTCCTGTGTTATTGGAACCCCATGCTGTTAAATACCATTTACTTCAGTTATCTGACACTATTAGCACACCCCCTGTTGGTCAGCTAATTAGACATAAACCTACTAAACAAAAATGAATTTTTATGTACTGGCTATGGCTTAAATCAAGTTTTTGATATGTAAATTATCATCTTGTTAAAGTTTATGATTTCTTCTATGTGGGTACAGAAGAAGAACATATAAAGAAAAACAGTCCACAAGAATAATTTGATTTGATGTGTATGCAATTGGAACAAAAGAGGACAAACAGCTAAAACTACAAACCCATTTTTACCTTACTTATTTTTAGAAATCACAGTGTCCTCTGAGACTCCTGTTATACTGTACATTTGAATATGTAACAAAACTGACACATACAACCATGTTGACTTGTACCACTGCCAAGTAGGACACACCTGAAGCTAGTGCCAATCCTTTGGCCAACTACACCACTCAAAATACAAATATTTATGCCATTGATATGCCTCATATTTTCCTCCTTACTCCACTGAATTTCATTTCACAAGAATATACCCAAAGACACAACTCAATTTCTTTCTCCTCCTTCGTGATTAGAAATTGAATCTGTAGAGAAAGAGACCAGGTTGCCCACTATATTATATGATTATATGGTCCCTTAAAGGACTAACAAAATAGGGGCCGGGCACAGTGGCTCACTTCCGTAATCCTAGCACTTTGGGAGGCTGAGGTGGGTGGATCACCTAAGGCCAGGAATTTGACATCAGCCTGGCCAACATTGTGAAGCCCCATCTTTACTAAAAATACAAAAACTAGCCTGGCGTGGTGGCAGGTGCCTGTAATCCCAGCTACTAGGGAGGCTGAGGCAAAAGAATCACCTGAACCTGGGAGGTGGAGACTGCAGTGAACTGACATTGCACCACTGCACTCCAGGCGGGGCGACAGAGTGAGATTCTGTCTCAAACAAAAAAAAAAAAAAAAATACTAACAAGAGAGGAACTGAAGAATAAAATATACCTGTGTCTACAATAATAATTAGACTGTGTCTACAGAAATAACTATAATGTCTCACATTTAGGTGTTTTCAAGTTTAATTTTATGTATATCTTATAAAAACCTTGCAAGGCAGACCACGCAACAGGATGTCTGTTTACGCATTTAGAATCTAAAGCTCACAGTGGATAAGTGGCTTTATCAAAGTCACATAACTGGTAAGTAGCGAAAAATGAACAAGAATAGATTTCTCTGACTCCTAGTGTTGAATTATCTTCATGAGTAGTTATCTAAATGTGGAGCACAGAGTTCTGGAGGGCTGCAGATTATCTCGTTGAGTGTAAAGCAGAAGTCTTACTAATAGTTTCCTCAATTTAAGTTAGCAGTATATGTGAAGGGCCTATGGTGACTTAGCTAACGTTAATAAATATTATCTATTTTTATGCCTAGCAATATTTTTGAACAAATACAGCTTTTATTGTAATTAATGCATTATAAACTTAAATTGTAAATCAATTTAAATAAAGGTTTGTTGCCATGTATTATCTTATTCATACAGATCAATAATTATAACTCTTATCCTACAGAGGAGTTTATTATTATTATTATTATTATTGTTTTAATAGGCCCTAGTAATCTAAGAGGTTGCAAATCCCAGTGCTGCTACTACCTTTGTCAGGTGTATGGATATATAACATACTTTCCAGGTAAAGTTTCCCAAGGAGCTTGACTGTCATGCTTAGTTCTTATTTAAGAGGATTTCAAACTACCTTAGTAGATTTGAAAATTTTTTATCACTCAGATGCCTATTAGTCTACATTGCCACATAAGCAGTTGGGATACAAGTCTGAGGCTTTCAGGAGAAGACAGGATTAGAGATATAAATTTGGGAATACTCACTGAATGGGTGATTTTTAAATGCATAAAACACTATGCAATCCATGAATGTAGATAAAGAGGCCCAAGCACTGAGAAGAATGGCATGTCAACAATTGGAGTTCAAGAACACTGGGAAAAGAGTGAAATATGATCCATAATGTAAAAGGAAAATCAAGATCAAGTAATGTCTGAAGCCAAGTGAAGACCGTGTTTTAAGGATGCAAATAGTTCGGCCATGTCAAGTACTACTGTTGAGTCAAGAAAGATGAGGACTAAGCATGAGACTCAGTGAGGAGGAGGCATTAATATGTACGGCATTGACAAGAATAGTTTTTGTAGAAAGTTGGAGACGAAAGCCTAATCAGAGTAAATTATTAAAAATGAGACAAGAAAAATTAAAACCATAGTACTAACATGTCTTTTTTAAGAGTTTCGTTGTAAAGTTTGCAGAGAAATAAGACATCCCCTGGCCGGGCGCGGTGGCTCAGGCCTGTAATCCCAGCACTTGGGGAGGCCGAGGTGGGCAGATCACGAGGTCAGGAGATCGAGACCATCCTGGCTAACAGGGTGAAATCCTGTCTCTACTAAAAATACAAAAAATTAGCCGGGCGTGGTGGCGGGTGCCTGTAGTCCTAGCGACTAGGGAGGCTGAGGCAGGAGAATGGCGTGAACCCGGGAGGCGGAGCTTGCAGTGAGCCGAGATCGCACCACTGAACTCCAGCCTGGGCGACAGAGAGAGACTCTGTCTCGAAAAAAAAAAAAAAAAAAAAACAGAATTATGCTAATTGAAATTATAAGAGAAGACTATATCTATTTCATTTTTTTTTACCTCAGTTGTCATTGTTTATAATAAATCTCCCAAAGATGAGGATGATTTCATAGAAATGTTATAGATTTTACACACCATGGTACCAAAGGAGTAAGCCATGGGCCGATTAATGATTATGAAATCATTTTGAGGAAAAACAAAGAAATGTATTATTCAGGCTGGTTGTATATTTTATCTACCAAGTCTGTTTTCTATGACTGTTAGGCTTATTTCCAAAAATTCAAATCTAATATCAAACAATGGAAATCTTACATGCTTAAGATAATAAAAGGCATATGATAAATTAAAAAGATGACTATTCAATAAATAGTTTCAATTATTTTTAATCAATTACATCATTGTTGGAATACGTGTGCAAGATCCATCTAAGACTATTCTAAAAGAAAGATGTTAAAAGTATTAAAAACATTGTTTTATGTAATTATTTTAATTCCAGCTATATTTATACAAAAATTTTAAATATAATAAAATGTTTCACTTGAAAAACTGTGACGCTGTTACAAGATGAATAGTGTACAACATGTAAATACATGGAAATACAAATAAATTCCTCTTAATGCGATATAAAAAAAGTAAAATTGGTTAAAAATTTGGACTCTGAAATTCTGTATGTGTGCCCCAACTCTGCCATTTTGTAGTGTCATGACCTTGAAAATGTACTTAACCCTTGAAGTCTTCTTTCCTCTGTATGTAATGTCTATGTTTTGACACTTCCTAACACAGACCAATATTTAGCAAGGTCTTTTAACTCCTCCAAATACGTTATGTTGTTTTAAAACTCAAGAGAGCAATAGAGACTGGACTTTACCTTTCACAGTTGGGGAATAGAGGTGATGATTTACAACACAGACCTCACAGCAAAGAAGTCATAATGTCATTTTAGAAAGCAGTATTTCTTCCTCATTTTTGTCACAGCAATAAAGTTTAGAAGAACTTAGATAATGCTAATGACGATGGCAATATAATGTGAGAGCCATTTAACTTAGAAAAAGCACAAAGTTAAAACAATAAACAGGAACTGAGTTTTTGTATCATAACAAAATATGGTTAATTCAACTGTCTGAACATAAAGTAAAAAAATTAAGAAGAATCAAAGAGGTTTAGTTGAGGGGTTTAATGATACAGGTAAACTTTCTAAGACATTAATAAGAGTATTCATGTTACATGGATAGACTTCTAAGGAATAAGTAGGCATCATTTAATCAATGTCAATTTAATATAAATACAACATGAAGCATTTTTGCTGTTTTGAAATTCTTACAAATTGATTTTTCTTTAAAATAAGCAAACATAAAAACCCATCAAACAAATTCTTAGACTGATGTACACTTGGTAACCTTGATAATTTTGCATTGTTTCCTTAAAATACACATTATGTTTTTATTTGATCAGCCAATTCTTCTGCAATCAGATTTCATTGCAACTTTTTTTTCAAGTAAACTTATTTTATTTTCTCAATTCTTTTGACCCTCAGTCTTCTGTTCACATGAAAATTTTTTTTAATTTTATTATTATTATACTTTAAGTTTTAGGGTACATGTGCACAATGTGCAGGTTTGTTACATATGTATATATGTGCCATGCTGGTGTGCTGCACCCATTAACTCATCATTTAGCATTAGGTGTATCTCCTAATGCTATCCCTCCACCCTCCCCCCACCCCACAACAAGCCCCAGAGTGTGATGCTCCCCTTCCTGTGTTCATGTGCTCTCATTGTTCAATTTCCACCTATGAGTGAGAACATGCGGTGTTTGGTTTTTTGTCCTTGCGATAGTTTGCTGAGAATGATGGTTTCCAGTTTCATCCATGTCCCTACAAAGGACATGAACTCTTCATTTTTTATGGCTGCATAGTATTCTATGGTGTATATGTGTCACATTTTCTTAATCCAGTCTATCGTTGTTGGACATTTGGGTTGGTTCCAAGTCTTTGCTATTGTGAATAGTGCCGCAATAAACATACGTGTGCATGTGTCTTTATAGCAGCATGATTTATAATCCTTTGGGTATATAACCAGTAATGGGATGGCTGGGTCAAATGGTATTTATAGTTCTAGATCCCTGAGGAATTGCCACACTGACTTCCACAATGGTTGAATTAGTTTACAGTCCCACCAACAGTGTAAAAGTGTTCCTATTTCTCCACATCCTCTCCAGCACCTGTTGTTTCCTGACTTTTTAATGATTGCCATTCTAACTGGTGTGAGATGGTATCTCATTGTGGTTTTGATTTGCATTTCTCTGATGGACAGTGATGATGAGCATTTTTTCATGTGTTTTTTGGCTGCATAAATGTCTTCTTTTGAGAAGTGTCTGTTCATATCCTTCGCCCACTTTTTGATGGGGTTGTTTGTTTTTTTCTTGTAAATTTGTTTGAGTTCATTGTAGATTCTAGATATTAGCCCTTTGTCAGATGAGTAGGTTGCAAAAATTTTCGATCAACTGGAAGAAAGGGTATCAGTGATGGAAGACGAAATGAATGAAATGAAGCGAGAAGGGAAGTTTAGAGAAAAAAGAATAAAAAGAAATGAACAAAGCCTCCAAGAAATATGGGACTATGTGAAAAGACCAAATCTACATCTGATTGGTGTACCTGAAAGTGACACGGAGAATGGAATCAAGTTGGAAAACACTCTGCAGGATATTATCCAGAAGAACTTCCCCAATCTAGCAAGGCAGGCCAACATTCAGATTCAGGAAATACAAAGAACGCCACAGAGATACTCCTCGAGAAGAGCAACTCCAAGACACATAATTGTCAGATTCACCAAAGTTGAAATGAAGGAAAAAATGTTAAGGGTAGCCAGAGAGAAAGGTCGGGTTACCTGCAAAGGGAAACCCATCAGACTAACAGCGGATCTCTCGGTAGAAACTCTACAAGCCAGAAGAGAGTGGGGGCCAATATTCAACATTCTTAAAGAAAATAATTTTCAACCCAGAATTTCATATCCAGCCAAACTAAGCTTCATAAGTGAAGGAGAAATAAAATACTTTACAGACAAACAAATGCTGAGAGATTTTGTCACCACCAGGCCTGCCCTAAAAGACCTCCTTAGGGAAGCACTAAACATAGAAAGGAACAACCAGTACCAGCCACTGCAAAAACATGCCAAAATGTAAAGACCATCAAGGCTAGGAAGAAAACTGCGTCAACTAACGAGCAAAATAACCAGCTAACATCCTAATGACAGGACCAAATACACACATAACAATATTAACTTTAAATGAAAATTTTTATAGATGCATAAGTTTGCAATTAGCTCTTCGTTTTTGTTTTCATTATGCCATAAGTAGCTCAGACAGGAGAGAAGTTAGAAATGAGAGCTACTATGTTCCGGGTGAAATACTGCTGTTGAATTCGTTCTTAGGTAGTAATGAGAATTCTATGATGGCATCTGTGATTGTCACACCTTAGTACCGGACACCTATGTATGACCTCGTTCCCCACCCACATCCTACCATGAATATTGACAGAACTTGTGATTTATTTCTGGCGAATAGAATTTGGCAGAATTTTTTAGATGTAATTAGGAACTCTTACAAGCTGACTCTGAATTAATCAAAGTGGAAATCATCCTGAATAAGCCTGACCTAATCAGGCAAACCCTTTAACCAAGGGCCCAGGCCTTGTGGTAACTTACTATGAACTAACAGAAAAGTCACACATTCTGATTTTAAGCTCAGCTATATTTAAAACTGCTTTATTAACACGACAATAAAAAGGAAGGGTAATACATGCAAGATTATTTGAAACTGATGAACTTATAAGAAGAAAGTCTATCTCTTATTCAATTGTTTTTGTCTTTGAAAATTATGCACTATATACAATAGTTATAAATTAAGTATATTATATATAATATATAACATATATTATATATAATCATGAGAACAAGGAATTTTTTTAAAAAACATCTTAACACCCATTGTTTGGTGTTAACGAGACAAGATATCGAAATCTGTTAACATTCCTACTGATAGCAGGTAAAAAGCAGATGATATTAATACATCAGAAATGTTTAGTGAAAACAAACTTGTTATTCCAAACAAGTGTGATTTAAATATATACCATGACACTTAACAGCATAAATAAGAAGAGTTATAAATGCTAGAGAAAAGTTTTCAAGTAAAACTTCTGAATAAATTAATTGTAAATTAATATACACTTTGGGGACTATTTAGAATCCTAGTTTGTTTTAACTTTCACTAAGGTTATGTGTGGAAATTTTGCTTTAATCCATGTTTCTGTGGCTTCTTATTTATTTATTTTGAGGCAGAGTTTTGCTCTTATTGCCCAGGCTGGAGTGCAGTGGCACGATCTCCACTCACTGCAACCTTCACTTCCCAGGTTCAAGCGATTCTCCTGCCTCAGTCTCCCAAATAGCTGGGATTACTGGTGCCTGCCACCATGCCCAGCTAATTTGTTTTTTTATATTTTTAGTAGAGACAGGGTTTTGCTATATTGGCCAGGCTGATCTTGAACTCCTGACTTCAGGTGACTCGCCCACTAGGCCTCCTAAAGTGCTGGGATTACAGGAGTGAGCCACTGCGCCCAGCCTGTGGCTTCGTATTTATTAAAAGCCAGTGTGGAAAAATAATATCATAGAGTGGTAGTAAGTTTATGTTTTTAGCAACCACAACTCATCTCATTCCCAGTTCTCTGAACTAGCTGTAAAGGCCCACAGATTTTTGTTTAGTCTCGCAGGGCCGTTAATAAAACTCCAACTGATGATAACTGTTTCAGATGCAGGCTTCTTAGAATTTCCGAAGTTCACATTTAAAGAATTTCCTGTGGTGGGCATGTAATGTTTCACTTTGAAAGAAACAAGAGAAGAAAATGCGTGGCTCACACCTGTAATCCCAACACTATGGGAGGACAAGGAGAGTGGATCAATTGAGATCAGGAGTTCAATACCAGCCTGGCCAACATGGTGAAACTCCATCTCTACTAAAAATACAAAAATTAGCAAGGTGTTTTGTTGGGTGCCTGTAATCCCAACTATTTGGGAGTCTGAGGCAGGAGAATCGCTTGAAGCAGGGAGGTGGAGGTTGCAGTGAGCTGAGATCACACCACTGCACTCCAGGCTGGGTGACAAAACAAGTCTCTGTCTCAAAACAAACAAACAAATAAAAAAAGCCAATGCTGACTGAGAAATTTAACAGAGAAAAATAACTTATTGTAAGCATTTTTTAAATCTCAGAATTTTGGAGGGTATGACCAGTCAGTAGGATCCATGAGATAAAAAAGATGCAGAAGCTTGACAAGATGACTTCTCTGGGCCCTTCAATTTCAGTAACCTATGATTCTGGTCTCTGGTTGAGCTGTTGCTTTCCCAACAGGGAAGTTAGGACTTATGGTGAGACTGATTCACATTGATAAGATCTGCCTGGGCTCTACTCCCTTCTTGCCTCAATCTCTGCCTGAACATTCTTCCTATTTCATTTCCTACTTTGAAATCTTTTTTTCTCCTCCATCTCTATTTTTATAGCATTCAAAATAATTGAACTAAGCATGCCAAATGGCACAGGCAGGGTTTTTTTTTTTTTTTTTTTTTTTACAGAGTATGGATTCCTAACCACACTATCCTGGCTTTCCATTGATACATGCCAAAGCACTCCAAACTACGGCTGCTTACGAACTATAGGAACATTTTATTCCACCTCGACCCTTTTAGTCTTGGTTCTGTATAGGAGGCATATTTTTCATCGATCCCTTTCTTTCTTGCCCAGAAGGGGGCTCCAAAAAAAAATAAAATAAAAAACAATAAAAAACAATCAAACAAAAAAACCTTATTCTCCCATGACACAGATTAATGGTCATGCACTATCGGTCCTCTGGAGCAGCAGCCCCCATCCATTTTTGGCAGCAGGGATGGGTTTCCCATGAAACTTGGGTGTAGGGTAAATATTTCAGGATGGAACTGTCCCACGTTAGATCATCAGGCATTAGTTAGATTCTCTCTGTCTCTCTTTTTCTTTTTTTTTCCTTTGGACCGAGTCTTGCTCTGTCACCCAGGCTGGAGAGCAGTGATCTTCTGTCACCCAGGCTGGAGAGCAGTGATCTCTGCTCACTGCAACCTTTGCCTCCCGGGCTCAAGCACTTCTCCTGCCTCAGCCTCCTGAGTAGCTGGGATTACAGGCATGCACAATCACTCCCAGCTAATTTGTGTATTTTTAGTAGAGACAGGGTTTCACCATGCTGGTCAGGCTGATTTTGAACTCCTGACCTCAAATGATCCACCCACCTTAGCCTCCCAAAGTGCTGGGATTATAGGCATGAGCCATGGCACCCAGCCAGTTACATTCTTACAAGGAATACACAACCCAGCTCATTTGCATGCACAGTTGACAATAGGATTCACTCTCCTGTGAGACTCTAATGCCACAGACGATCTGACAGGAGGCCAAGCTCAGGTGGTAATGTGAGCAATGGGGAGCGGCTGTAAATACAGATGAAGCTTTCCTGGCTCACCGCTGCTCACCTCCTGCTGTGCAGCCTGGTTCCTAACAGGCCACTACAGGTACCAGGTCCACGGCCCAGGGGTTGGGGACCCCTGCTCTGGAAGAACTCATGTGTTCTTTATCGTTTTTACTATGAAGTTTCTCTCTTATGATCTGTGTCTTGCATTAATGTTTCCCCCAGCTCCTTTATAACCTTCCTGTGAGAACAGTGCTTTCATCTCACTCATTTATACAGAGGCAGAGCTTTGCGGAGGTCTTAATAAGCACTCAATAAATATGTATTCATTTATTATTCATGGGGCTGCATGATGTCATCAACTAGATAAAGCTCACTTTTCAGTAGAACTGTGAGACTAGTGACTAGTTCGTGTCTTACATACCGTTTCTTGCCCTGCTCCTCTGCCTCTGCCATACTACTAAGACATAGCTTCATTTACCCTTTACATTTTGTTAGTGTCTAAAGCAAAATACCATTTTCTTTTGGTTTCTTTTTTGGACACAAAGCAATTAGCAGACATTTTTTGTAACATTCTGGTGGTAAAAATTATGATGTTTAAAATTGCATATTGAAAGTGAAGTGGAGTGGAAAGAAATGAATGGTTCTAAGGTATCATGCTGACCTTGTCATCAACAAAGTGTGTGGCAGTTTGGGCTTCTCAGGTTTTGTGTGGGTGTAAGAATGAGAGAGAGAGTGTGTGTTTTCTCTCTTCAGCGTAGCATTTTGTGCTATAAAGATAGTGGAAAAGCTCTATCTGCCTTGGCCTTTGCTGAGTGGCGTATTGAGATTGAAGAGACGTCAACAACAGAATGACCTCAACGGTCTTATCAGGCGCTGTCAGCAAACCTTGTATAATTAACCCAAAGGACCCTAACATGCCTTTAAGAACAATCTCTTTGTTTGGGTTCTTCCTTTCACCTCGACTCTCAAATCCCACACAGTACAGGAGAAAAAATGCAAAGTGATTAGAACATATGAGTGAAAAACATAGCTTAAATTATGCATACACATAAAAAATGAGTACCATTATCAGGCCATGGTATCTCTTGTCAATTTTATATCTTATTATCTAGTCCACATCCAGTCCATAATAATCAAGTACAACCACCAAGCCACTTAGAAAGAATGTATGCCTCTCTTTCTTAACAATTTGCACTTGAAGAACTCTGTTTGCTAAATTTTAAATCCATTCCAATTAGTAGTGTTAGCTATAAAAATGCAGAACCATCTGTTCATTGACCTTGCATTCTAACATTTCATATTATTCTCCAGACTGTTCCAACAGCTCTTTCTCAACTTAGTTAATGCCAGACTTTCATATCTCTAGTCATGGGTATTAATTTTACCAGAATTTTTAGTAATTTTTTGGTGTTTTCTCTAAATGTTCTTAAGGTATGTAACTACTGGACTAAATTGTTTAACTGCCAGGCTGAAGATAATATTCTAGTTAAAGCTAGTTGGCCGGGAGCAGTGGCTCATGCCAGCAATCCAGCACTTTGGGAGGCCGAGGTGGGCTGATCCCTTAGGTCAGGAGTTCTAGACCAGCCTGCCCAACATGGTGAAACCCCGTCTCTACTAAAAATATGAAAATTAGCAGGGCATGGTGGCCCATGCCTGTAGTCCCAGCTATTTGGGAGGCTGAGGCAAGAGAATGGCTTGAACTTGGGGGCAGAGGTTGAAGTGAGCCGAGATCATGCCATTGAACTCCAGCCTGGGCTACAAAGTGAGACTGTGTCTCAAAAAAAGAAAAAGAAAAAAAAAAAAAGCTAGTTCAATAAGATATATGGGAGAATTAACAGATAGCAACACTGCATAAGGAAGTTTGAAATATCATTTTAAGATACATATGAGAAAGTAATTGTATTTCAACTATGTTTTTTACACTAAATGACCTTTAGTTTTCTAAATTATCAGTTAGGATAACAAAAACTTGTCATAAGAGGGATAATTTACCTTGGTAAATATAATATGCTGGAGTTTCAAATCTAGTAAAGATAGTTTAGAGCTCACTGTTTGGTCTCTGGCTATGCTGATTTGGTGATATGGTAACCTGAAAACATTCTCTTCAGAATTTTGGTATTGTAGTGAAGAATCATTGCAACAAAAAAAGTTTTCTGTTTCAAAGTTAAATAGCAGGAAAACACTGCTTTTCAATTCTTTTTACAATAGCTTCTTCTCTATTTCCTTTCCTCTTTTATCTTTAGTCATTTATAATTTTTTATGATTAAACAGGGGTTATATCCACAAATATGATATTTTGAAAACTACAGAAAACTATGATAAAATATTTATATTGTTCATAATTTCAACAGAAAAATTACTGTACAATTTATTTAAAAATCATATCTTATTTTGATTTTAGATTTCTCACTGACATTTTCTCCATTTACCAATTATATATAGATAAGAGTAAAAACTAACATTGGTCTAAAACATAGCCTTTACTTTATTTTATGCTATTAAAAAATAAGCAATAATTTAACAATGCAACAAATGAAATATCCTATATTTTACATACATTGATAATTTAAAAATTCTAAATTGCCTTTTACACAATTTATAATTCAGTCATCTCAGATTGTCTTAAATAAATTCATATTTTTAATAGCATATTTTTAAAAAATCCTCATTTTAAATGTTTCAAGTATTACTGCAAATTCCTTTTCTTTCTTTCAAAATAAATTAATTGAAGTTGGTGATTTCTTTAAAATTTTGCCATATACTTTAGTTTGCACAGATGATTCTAACGCATGAGTGTGGTTATTTTTACTGTATTGAAGGCCATTGCAGCAAAGGCGGAACGTATCAGATGAGTCAAACATATTGTACATTTAAGATTTTAAATCTTATGCTGATGACTGTTTTCTTTACACGAAAAAAAAAAGACAGAGAGAGAAGGTGTGAAATTAAGTCACTCTTGTCAAACCTCAGATTTCTAGTCTGGTCAGAGTGGGAATGTTCTCTAAGCGTGTGTTTCCAAATAAGCAAATGCTAACATCTACCAAAATTTTCATCCACTATTCTTACACAAATCTTCATAAAATTTGTTGTTCATCTTTCAGCAATAAGCAGAAGAAATAATCTATTAGAGAATAAAGTTAACATTGAAAGATATATAGCCCAGAGCAGAAAACAAAAAACAAACAAAAAAAAAACAACCTTCTTTACCAAACACAGTAACGTTTGAAAAACAGAAAAAATGGAAAGGCATCTTGTGTTTCTAGATCCCAAGTGTGGAAAATGCCTATTGCTCATGACTCCAGTGCAGTTTCACTTGCTGCACAGTGTGGTGTGCTTGAGAAGCAATTCTGCATTCTAATTCTGCAGTTACATTTGAAAAACTAATATGAAATAATAGCCAAGCGAATTTTGCAAATGAAGAATAATAGAGAAATAATATCTTACCCTAAAATGTTAGCATGTCTTACAGGCATAAAATAATTGAAATGTTGTGGTACTAGCATAAGAATTGACAGACAGATAAATGGGACAATATAGCTCCAAACCAGAACTCAAGATAGTAAGTATTTAGCACAGCATTACTCAAATCCTACACGTCTTTATTACATAGATACACCTTATTCTGTGTAACAAGAAGGAAAACATCTATTCAATTAAATGATATGCTTTTTAATATCTAGAAAGCTTATTTTTGTTGCAAGTTTTTTACCCTTAATTAGTGATAGATTTTTATCATGCATATACATACAAATTTATAAGGCAAATATATTAACAGTCTATAATTACTTCACATTTGGAATTTAACTTGTCTAAATCACTTTTAGGTTTAGAGTTCTTGATGTTTGTGCTTTTCCACACAGTGTCATCCCTTGGGTTACAAAGAGCATTGGTTATGTGGTATTTTTGAAGAGCTTTTGATGTTGGCATCTGACATCTGACTTTGCAATTATGTACGAGCAGTCAACTTTTGATTTCAACTTGTAGTATGTTGGTAAAACATATTAGATTCACCAGGTCCTTCAAATACTTCTGCAGCAATTTGGTACCTAGGGTTTTCAAGAGTACTCCACTATCATCTCTGAAGAATAATCTTCCACAGGAACACTCATTCTCCAAGTTTTAAGGCTGAGGTATTTGAGGTTTGCACATGCACAGGTAAATGGCAAGCATAATCTGACTCAACCTCCGTGACCATGATTTTTAGAGTTTATTTTTAGAGTTATTTAGAGTTTATTTCAACAATCCAGTTGAAATAAATTTGTCTTACAATCAATAAAATTCAATGTGCTACAAACATTAAGAATGAAGGCTGCAAATATAGGATTTTCAATAAAGTACTAAAATGTTTTTCTTAAAAATTTTAAACTATTTGTAGGAATGAACAATAGTGCCTGCCAAACCTACCCCAAAAGATGCTTTGAGAATCAAAATGCATTCAGGCATGGGCATAAAACTTTTTAAACTACAAAGCACTGTACAGCATGTAATACCCTAAAAGGAACATTTCAACCTGTCTTTGTGTTCTTTTGTTTTTCAGGGGTTTTTTTTGTTTTTGTTTTTGAAATTAACACTAGAATTAAATACTAAAGTTGCTTTTTCACAGCTTGCTTTTCTGCCTAATTATAAAGCAGATTTATCATTAAAATAATTAAAATCCTGTTTTTCTAGCAATAAGTAAGCATTATTACTATGTTATGTGTGATTAAATTGTTTTACTTGTATAGCAGCACGATAGTACTACTGCACAAAATTGTCGCAACTGTTTTTCTATCTTTCCTTCATTTTACATGCTGATACATTGCATGCATCCTGTCATCTATGCTAAAATATGTAATAATCAGAACTTGTTCCAAGTCTTCAGTATAATGGAAAGTACTTACAATCCTTACTGAATCCTTTAATTGCAATGAAAATTAGTATTAAAATAATTTGATTCGAGATATGTAGGATTTAAGACCTATAATTTTTGCATGATCTATCACATTTCTTGTAAAATTTGTTACTTAACAAATTACATTCTGAATATGATTCAAATTAGTGGCATTTCATTTAGGACTTATAATCTGATCATTCTGTAAAAATTGATCAGGCTTAGAAAAATAACATGAATAAAATAAGATAGTTAAAATGAAAATAAAATGCGGACATGTATCAAAATGTTTAAACAAAAGGATAGATAAGTTCACTTTAATAACTATTAAACATTATTATCTGAACTCTTAGCCTTTTGCAGAAAGGCAAAAGAGAAAACGTAGTGAATTACACTTTCTTGCTGATAAAAGGAATTTCAATAGATAATCTAGGAAGAGATATTTTCTTCTTGTCACTACAACTAGACAGACTTTCTGGAAAAATATCAGTCAGTATATTCAATTGCCTTTTGCAAAAGTGAAGTATTCTTTTATTACCACTTTTATATTATCATCAATAAAACATTAAAGCACAGAATTAAATCTTATTTTAGCAAATATTTGCCTTCCCAAAACTCATAAAATATGATGTAGGGACAGGTCTGAAACCAACCCATAAGGCTAATATTTTTCAGGCGGAGATAAAATAAGAATCTTAGTAGATCCGATTCTACTTCCTTAGGGCATGATCATGGCAATTTTATCGCTAACATTTGTTAACCTAGACCAGTTTTTGAAGGGTTGCCTGCTTAGCAAATAAAAATACAGGATGTCCATTTAAATTTGAATTTGAGATAAATAACAAATTTTTAGTAAGACCCATGCAATACTTGGTACATATTTATACTATTTTTAAATTATTTATCTAAAATTCAATTAAGCTATGTTCTATATTTTATCTGTCAACCCTAGCTTTAGCATTCTGTTTTCTTTCATTATAAGAATAAGGTCATGATGAGATTATTCAGGAAAAAACATCATTAATTTGGTTTTCATAAGCAGCAAACAAATATGGAAAACTTTGAAAAGTATTAGATGTTAGGAAAGCCAAGTTGCTTAACCAAAAAAAAAAAAAAAACAACAACAACAACAAACAAAAAAAGGTTATCCTGTCTCCTGAGTTAAAATTGGCTTTCAATATGATTCATTTCTCTCTTCAACCCTATGTATTTCTTTTTTTTTTTTTTTTTTTTTTTGAGGCGGAGTCTCGCTCTATCGCCCAGGCTGGAGTGCAGTGGCGCGATCTCCGCTCACTGCAAGCTCAGCCTCCCGGGTTCACGCCATTCTCCTGCCTCAGCCTGCTGAGTAGCTGGGATTACAGGCACCCACCACCATGCCCGGCTAATTTTTTGTATTTCTAGTAGAGACGGGGTTTCACCGTGTTAGCCGGATGGTTTCGATCTCCTGACCTCGTGATCCGCCCGCCTCGGCCTCCCAAAGTGCTGGCATTAGAGGCGTGAGCCACCATGCCCCGCTGTATTTCATTTTATGTATTTAATAACATTATATTACTCCGAGGAGGGTGTTTTGTGGTTTTTTTTAATTAGACTGACAAATGGACCATTGCACGAAAAGAGTAAAATCCCCTGTTACTGGTTCTAAACAAAGCTTGAGTAAAGACTTCATGTTATATCACTAGGAGTTTCTTGGCTTCATTCACATCTACTTTTGTTTATTCATAATTTCCATATAGACCTAAGTTATCTGCCAGTAGCTCTAGTTACATATATTTAAATAGATATTCTTGAAATATGTAAATACAAAAAACTTGGTATAACCAAATGACCCTATTTCCAGAGATGGTATTAATAGAATATGCAAGTTCAATATACAAACATTCAACATTCATGTAACTATTATCAAAGATTCACAAAATCCTACCTTCAGCCTCCTCTATGAATATGAAAATTATCTTAGGACATGTCACTATGGAATAATTGTATATCCCATAAAAGAAAAAACCTCAACGTCTGGGTAAATCAAACTTTTGGTTTCATCAAATTTGAAGGGAATTTTGAAGTATCTTTTTAAATAGAAAATTTAAAAGCAGAATTTATTCCTCTGCAAGCCCTGTGTATGTAAGTCTGTGTGTGCATGCACGTATGTACACGCATATGTGTACATATGTACACATAGCATTATACTAGATTCTATGGAGACAAATACAAACACAATGAAATTTCTTTCCTTATGGAGTTTTGTTACAGGTTTGAAGAAGAGAGAGATAATGACTGAGAGAGACAGAGAGACCTCCCAGGTTCAAGGGATTCTCCTGCCTCAGCCTCCCAAGTAGCTGGGATTACAGGCACCTGCCACCACGCCCAGCTAATTTTTGTATTTTTTTATTAGAGAAGGGGTTTCACCATGTTGGCCACGCTGGTCTTGAACTCCTGACCTCAGGTGATCCACCCACCTCGGCCTCCCAAAGTGCTGGGATTACAGGCATGAGCCATAGTGCCTGGCCTGAAACCTTTTTTAAAAAAAAAATCTTTTCTGTATCTAATATAGATTTTGCTTGTGGTTACTATGAGGCTTATATAAAATACACTTGTAACAGGCTATTTTAAACTGATAGCAACTTAATTCTGACCACATTAAAGACTCTATATTCTTAAAAAGAAAAATAAAAAAAAAGAAGTTCTGTTTAACTCTGACTGGGCAGTGGAACATGGGGTAATTATTTTCATCTAAGGAATAAGAAGGCTTCGTAGGTAAACACCAGCTGAGCAAATGTTGAGCCATGAGTGGGTATTAACTAGGTAAGGGGAGTGGAGGTGAAGCATGGAAGAGGAGGAAAATGCATTCCAGGCAAAGAAAACAGCAGGCTGTTCACCTCACACCAGAAAACTCCTCTATTGTTTTCCAAAATTAGATGGGCTACGAGTAATCCTCTATTGATGGTCTTTGGACTCCATATAACTTTATATCTGATGCGGAGAAGCATCAGAATAATCACTCTTTACACAGGACTGATATTCAATTTAAATACGTGCAGGTCTCCATCTACAGTAGTTAAATGCTCACACATAAAGCACAGAGTCTCTGTTAGTTCTTGGCTCCTAGATCCAGTGATTGGTTTGTTCCTCAGCATTTGCTACCAAGCAGATTGACAGAAAATGCCAGCATTTTAGAGTAATACGTGTGCAATGCTAGGACTATAGAAATATATGTGTGTACTTTGGACAGGTATCTGTAAATGTTACCTATGCCTGCCCCAGAAAACACAGTTTCTCTCTGTCTCCCCCAGCCCCCATATATCTGTATATCCATTTGTCCCCTCTCTCCTCTCTCTCATCTCAGCAAATGAGATGATGGTGAGAGGGTTGAAAAGGCCATCTTTGCAGTGATAGGAAAGCAAATCCTTCAGAATAAATGTTACCTGGAAATATCTCACTATTTTGCAAAAGTCATTGCCTATATTATTTTCTATTTTCAAGGATCAAATACCTGTCTTTGGCTGTCATAGTCTAGAGGTTTGCCGTTTTACCATTTCAAACTCATTTATGTGTAAGGTATAATTGTGCACACATGCAAGATACAAATTCTTCTTTTAAATATTGGTACATAGACTAATGAATAAAATCATAATCATAGGCTGGGTGTGGTGGCTAACACCTGTAATCCCAGCACTTTGGGAGGCTGGAAAGCAGGAGAACCGCTTGAACCCAGGAGTTTGAGACCAGCCTGGGCAACATAATGAGACCTCATCTCTACAAGAAAAATTAAAACAAACAAACAAAAAAGCCAGGTATGTGCCATATTCCAGTGGTCCCAGCCACTCAGGAGGCTGAGGTTGGAGTATCACATGAGCCTGGGATGAGGAGGTTGCAGTGAGCTGTGTTCATGCCACTGTGCTCCAGCCTGGGTGACAGAGCTAGACGCTGTCTCTAAAAAGTAAAAAATAAAACAGTAATCGTGTGCATTCCAAGATAAAATAATTAAACATGATTTGAATGTTAACTGATTTTCTATTTACTGATTAGGATCTAGCCCTTTCTCAAACTAGCAGTAGTTTCTTCTCACTTTTAAAAACACTCTTTACGTAGTTTGTTTTTTTTTTTTTATGTTAGAACAACCTCATGTAAAATCATGGAGACACTAAGAGGACCCAAATTTGTACATATCCCAGAAGTAATAAAGTAATCCACTTGTGTAAGTGCTAACATTTAAGCTTTAAATTTTTTATTTTGAAATAATTATGAATTCACTAGAAGGTGCAAAGACAGGGGGGTCCTGGGTACTTTTCATCAAGTTTCTGCCATGAATTCATTTAACGTAACTATAGCACACTATTTAAACCAGGAAATTGACATTGATACAATATATGTATATAGTTTATATCAGTTAATCACATGTGTAAGGTATAGGCACTACCACAATCTAAATGCAAAACTGTTCCATCTCAGACCCATCCTCTCCCTGCACTACAGCCATGGTTAACCCATGACCACCACTAATCTGTTTCCAATCCCTGTATTGTCTTTATTTCAAGAAGGTTGTGACCTTATGAGATTGGCTTTTTTCACTCAGCATACTGCCCTTGAGATCCATCCAAGTTGGTGCATCTAACAACACTTTTGTTGTTCTTCTTGTTGTTAGGTCTTCTTTTGTTTTTGCTGAGCAGTATTTCATGATATAGATGTACCACAACCTGTTTAACTATTCACTTATTGAGGAGTATTTTAGTTTTTCCAGTTTAGGGCCGTTAAAAATAGAAATGCTGTGAACAATCATGTACAGATTGTTGTGCATACATACATTTTTTACTTTCGTAGATGAAATATTTTTAGTTTTGATAAAGTCCAATTAATTCTGTTTTTTTTTTCCTTTATGGATTATGCTTTCGGTATCATGTCTAAGAACATGTCAGCAGGCCCTGGGGCTCAAAAATGTGCCTCGATGTTATATTCTAAAAGTTTGTAGTTTTATGTTTTCCATTTAAATTACAATCAAATTGAGATAATTTGGTAGAACTTAGAGAAAGTTCTGGGTGAAAGAAAAATCTATCTTTAAATCAAAAGTATTTCTGTGGAAGCATTTCTAGTAAATTACCGAGAGCTCCTGGAAGAAAGGGACCTATATCTCCAAGCCTCCATATTTTGGTTTTGATTACTTGTCTCACTATAGATAAATATTTACATTGTTTTTACTTTTTTTTTTTTTTTTAGACGGAGTTTCACTCGTGTTGCCCAGGCTGGAGTGCAATGGTGTGATCTCGGCTCACCACAACCTCCGCCTCCCAGGTTCAAGGAATTCTCCTGCCTCATCCTCCCGAGTAGCTGGGATTACAGGCATGTGCCACCACACCTGGCTAATTTTGTATTTTTAGTAGAGACAGGGTTTCTCCATGTTGGTCAGGCTGGTCTCAAACTCCCAGCCTTAGGTGATCTGCCCACCTCAGCCTCCCAAAGTGCTGGGATTACAAGAGTGGGTCACCGCGCCCTGGCCAATATTTACTTTTATATCATGTTTTATATTTTTAATTTTGTGTTCCTTGTTTTAAGGAATAGAGTCTCCCTCTTCCCCGACCCCTAAATAACATTGTATAAGTATCCAGTCTCTAACACCTTCTCTATGGTGTAGGAAACATTCAGATTGTGTGTGGAAATGCATGTGACCTAAAAGTATATATGAACACTTGTAGGAACAAAATGACACAAAGAAGCTACAGAGTTAGAAAATCATATTAAAAGGGAGACTTTTTTTAAAAAACGTGAAGGATGGAAAAGGGTTTTAACTGTTTGCTTCTATTAGACCTTTCTCCAGAGAAAACCGTCAAAAGCAAAGCTATCAAAGAGATTCTCCAGTAGCTCTCAGACAGAACAACAGTCCAAAGGGCTCTTCAAGAGAAAATCTAATGTTGGGAGGCTCCTTCTTATAGTGAGGGCACAGAGGAGGGCTCCTTCTTAAGAGAAGGTCAACTACTCTGCAAGTGCCTGAATTTGGTCGTCAGCTCAATAGCAAGAATCTCGAGGGACATTTTTCTGTCTTGTTTAGCATTTCAGTAGCTCTTTTTTAAAATTACATCTCTTAAGAATTTACATGTAATAAAATGTATTCATTTTCAATGTGCATATGGAGAAATTTTAGAAACGGTATATATCATCATAACTAACACTACATTCAAGATGTTGACCACAGTATATTTTTGTCATAATGAAAACTCTCAACATATAGGTTTTGATGTGAAGTTCAGAACAGGGTAGACCAGCATAGTCAGTGGAAATCTTCAAATCATTTACCAGTAATTTCTGAGCATTTGGCCACTGGCAGACATTTTGCTAGGTACTAGGGATGCAAAGATAAAAATGTAATAAGCTCTGACTTCACAGTTTAATGAGAACTCAAAGTCTTATGGGTGAGAGACACTGACTCTACTACAAGTGATCAAAGTGGAGGGAGTTTGGGATGTGATCAATGAGGGTTGAAAACTGTATAACATTTTGCCTGCATGGAAGGGGTGCAAGAATAGAAAAGGTGAGTGAGGATATTAACCTACATGTGCAGGGAAGCAATGAGGAATAATACTGATAACTGAAGTGGGGCATGAACAGGTTCACAAATGTGTGAATGTTATTCTTTCAAGTCATAATCCAAGAGAGGGAAAGTAATACATTGCTTCCACTGAAATACCCTCTTCATTACACTTGCAGAGGAGGAGCAGAAGTGGTGACATTGTCATGGGACCTGAGATCTCTTGGAGGAGAAATGGATATCTACAGGTAGAAAGAATTCCATCTTTGATGGTTTCATGCATACAATACAGAAAAAAAAAATGGCATGCATACAATTCATAACCTTTTATTTTTCAAACTCTCAGGTGCCATGAAAGAAGACAGGAGAACTAGCTAGTGACAGATTTTAGTTCTATAAGAATCTCACAAATAATTCTTGAGTGTTGGAGACTGATTGGATGCTTTTTTTTTTTTTTTTTGAGACGGAGTCTTGCTCTGTCGCCCAGGCTGGAGTGCAGTGGCACGATCTTGGCTCACTGCAACCTCCACCTGCCGGGTTCACGCCATTCTCCTGCCTCAGCCTCCCGAGTAGCTGGGACTACAGGCGCCTGCCACCACGCCCAGCTCATTTTTGGTATTTTTAGTAGAGACGGGGTTTCACCGTGTTAGCCAGGATGGTCTCGATCTCCTGACCTCCTAATCTGCTTTCCTCAGCCTCCCAAAGTGCTGGGATTACAGGCGTGAGCCACCGCGCCCGGCCAGGGCGCTTTAATTAAGCTGCTATAGGACTTCCAACCTTCTCTATGCCTCTTGCCTACTGAGTTTATTTTGCCGATCTCTGAATCTCAAATAGAATGGGCTTCTTCTGCTATGGTGGAGACTGGGTAACTATTCATCAAACTTATTTTATCTTCTTCCTAGTCATGGATCAGGATTATATTTTCTGGAACCTTGGCAGATAGGTATGGTCATGTGACTGAGTTTTAAATAAATGCATTTATTCCAGGACTGACCCTTGAAAACTTTCCAGGCACAATTCTCCATATTTCTTCAGTCTAGTACAGATAAGCATGGTGATCCTAGAAGCCAATGATGAGGATTCCATAGACATTGGGGAAATGAGCTAGAGTCTTTGAATTATTGCTTTGAAAAGAGTTACCAACCGAAAGTACCAGTTTTGTAAATGAGCAAGAAATAATTTTCTATCATGTTTGAGCCATGACACCTTTAGGAATTTATTTTTTAACACTTGTTGCCTTAAATAAAATACTCCTTAACTGATATTAATAATATGATTACTAAGAGAGAAATGTGACTTGGATTTGAAAATGGATTTTTCCTCTCCTTACATAAAAACATGCACCATGGAAAACTAATACTCAGTGAGAAATTAAATGTGTGTTATAGTCTAAGAAGTTAACATACTTAATTCTTACTTTTTTTCCGGGCATGAGATAACAGGCTTGTGTTTCTACTCTGATATTCACTGGCTTCTCTGAGCAGTGCATCTTTACTTATAGTTTAGGTCAACAAAACATTTGAAAATTCAAAAGTAAATTACAATCATCACCCTGATCACCCAACATTGCAAGAATAGCTGCATCATTTTGACTCTTAAAGCAGTTTCAGGTTGATGTAATCTATTCTTCTACAAGAAGAAATGGGGGCCGGGCATCGTGGCTCATGCTAGTAATCCCAACACTTTGGGAGGCCGAGGCGGGTGGATTATTTGAGGTCAGGAGTTCAAGACCAGGCTGGCCAACATGGTGAAACCCCATCTCTACTAAAAATATAAAAATTAGCCAGGCAGTAGTGGCACACGCCTATAATCCTACCTACTCGAGAGGCTGAGGCAGGAGAATCACTTGAGCCTGGGAGGCGGAGATTGCAGTAAGCCGAGATCGCACCACTGCATTCCAATCTGGGTTACAGAGTGAGACCTGTCAAAAAAAAAAAAAAAAAAAAAAATAGAAGAAGAAAAAGAAGAAGAAATTGCCCTCAGGTTCTAATCCCTCTGGGAGCACTTTAATTCATTTACCCCTCATAGTAAATTTGGACATGCATAGAATGATACTTTCTGGGTTAGGGATATGTTTCACAAGTAAAAATCAGACAAGAATCTAGGATCCAAAAAAGTAAAACTGAAAAATTATTTTCATGTTAAATAATATTTACTGTTGGCTTCAAAAATGAAGCATGTTAATGAACAGTTAATTCTCAAGTGATCATTGTTTATAGACAATGGAAGCCTGTATTAACGATTCACTTTGACTTTCATAGATATAGCTTTCTATTTGGAAATTTCTCTAAGATCTGATAATTCATGCTTGGAGATAATAGAATATGTGACATATTTCTAAGGATAACTGCTGATTTCGGATTGACTAGATAAATAAATCAGAAATTATTCAATGAAAATAACAGTTGGCTCAAAGTCCTACAACAAAGGGCATGCATTTTCAACTTTATTACTGCTCACATAATAGTTAAGCTATTATATTTAATTTAAGTTTTCCTTTAGGCAATCAATTTCCTGTTGTTTCCAATTTTGTTTTACAGCAGAAACAAACAGTATGAATGTGTGAGTTTTACTATTATTTTTATATGTTTATTTTTGAATAAATAGTTTTAAAATTAAACAATCCCAAGATAAAAATATGCATTCGATTATAAAAGTTAACAGTTTGAGTTACTTTGGGCCTTCAATAATAAAAATTTTACTACATTTTTAGAAATTTAAATTTAGTTATATAATAAATTTAATAAATAAAATAGATACATGTATTTATCAGTGGGATCTTTGCATAAATATACCATATATATTTGTGTGTGTATCTACATAGACATGCACACATATGTATATATATTTTTACATAAATACACATACATATATATGTACGTGGTAATAAATAACTGAGAATTTAAAGATTACTTTTAAATTTTTCAATGAAAATCTTTTAAAAATATGTGATAGCCTGCTTCCTTTAGTGAAACAGTTCTTTGAACATGCTTTAACTTGTTCTCAGAAACATTAAAAGCACCTTCACGTATGTAATAATTATATTCTACTGCATTAACATTAAATTCTGCATTATCTGTGTGACCAGTTAGAGATGACTGCACATTCTTTGTTACTCCTTCCATTGACAAGTAGAGTCCAATTTCTATTTATGAAACATGCTTCCCCAACAGAATGCAGCAGGAGTGATGTGGAATGTCAGAGGTGAGGTCGGCAGAGACCCTGCAGTTTTTTTTTGAGTTTCCTTGGAACACTGGCTCTGAGGCCAATCAGCAGCCATGGAGAAAGTATGATGCCCAGAACCCACCATCCCACAACAAACCCAGACCACCTGGAGGACCCCTGGAGGATGAGATACCAAACAGCAATGAGTCACTAGACCTGTAATAAATCCCTCATCTGCAAGTAGATTCTCCAGTTCTGACTGCTCTCTGATGTTCAAAGTCCTCTTCTGCTTACTCTGATCTGAGCCTATATACTGAATAACTGAGACAGCCAGAAATCACACTGCTGGATAAATGGAATATACTCAATAAAGGGCCGAATAATTTATATGATAGTTGGTTATTTTTATTTTTTTTTTTTTTGAGACGGAGTCTCGCTCTGTCGCCCAGGCTGGAGTGCAGTGGCGCGATCTCGGCTCACTGCAAGCTCCGCTTCCCGGGTTCACGCCATTCTCCTGCCTCAGCCTCCCGAGTAGCTGGGACTACAGGCGCTCGCTACCACGCCCGGCTAATTTTTTGTATTTTTAGTAGAGACGGGGTTTCACCGTGTTAGCCAGGATGGTCTCGATCTCCTGACCTCGTGATCCGCCCGACTCGGCCTCCCAAAGTGCTGGGATTACAGGCGTGAGCCACCGCGCCCGGCCATGATAGTTGGTTATTGAACAACACCTTCTGATCATTGCTTATATCTTACAGGCAATTTGGTTATATTTTAGACCTTAGAATCATTAAAGCATAGTATTACTTTTCTCCAGAAATCCTCATCACAATTATAATTGGGCTAATTGAAAAGAAAGGATGAGGTCCCTGTACTGGCCCGGACATGTAATATATTACTAGCACATACTGCCAATAGGCAAATTTAAAAATTGTAGCTGCCTTTAACATTTCCCCCCATTTTTGTCGCTACTATCCTAATCCAAGCCACCATAAAATCGCCACTTGCTTTTCCTCCAACAGCCAAGTATAAACCAGCCTCAGGGTTTTTGGTCTTTCTGTTCTCTTTCGATGAAAAGTTTAATAACCAGATATATGTATGGTTTGTTTCTCCCTTCATTGAAGTATGAGAAAGGCTTTTCTTGAGCACTTTAAATAAAATAAAACCCTCCATGTCCCCATTATTCTCTGTCCTTGTATCATACTTTACTTTTCTTCATAGCACTTATCACCACTTGACATATTTTAGTAATTTTTATACATACAATTGATTGTGTGCTCTGTGAGAACAGGTTTGTTTTATAGCCACCCATATCACCACCTTCAAAAAAGATACAGGAACTTTGTGATGCTTCCAGAATCTAAAACAGTGCTTGTCATATTACTGGTGATAAGAAAGTACTTGTCGAGCCGGGCGCAGTGGCTCACGCCTGTAATCCCAGCACTTTGGGAGGCCGAGGTGGGTGGATCACCTGAGGTCGGGAGTTCGAGACCAGCCTGATCAACATGGAGAAACCCTGTCTCTACTAAAAATACAAAATTAGCTGGGCATGGTGGTGCATGCCTGTAGTCCCAGCTACTTGGGAGGCTGAGGCAGGAGAATTGCTTGAACCCGGGAGGCGGAGGTTGCAGTGAGCCAAGATTGTGCCATTGCACTCCAGCCTGGGCAACAAGAGTGAAACTCTGTCTCAAAAAAAAAAAAAAAAAAAAAAAAAAAGAAAGTACTTGTTGAATCAATAAATGAGATTTTTAACGAAGAAAATATTTCAGCATAATGAAAAATAAAGTTGGAGAAAAATAAAAAACTAAATTATGGGGGTATAAAATTTGGGAAATAATTTTACACTTTGATGCAGTAGGTAGTGAAGACTCGTTATATAATGCTTGAGCAGGGAAGTAATGTGGCTATTCAGTACCACAGTTGTACATAGAATGCCTTCAAGTTAGAAGAACCTTAGGTTGGGCAAGGAGGTCAGCTAGAAAGTGTTGCAGTAATACCGATGTGTTAAAAGAAAAGGCTGGTTGGTGAGAATAGAACTGACTTAAAATATCATTAGAATTTGGTACATAACAAGAGAGTAGAGAAACTGACATAATAAAAATCGAAGCTGAGGTTTTCAAGTGAAAGTGACTGGCAATATATTGGCAAAGACACTTGGCAACATTAAACCAAATTAAAGCCAGCAAGTATTTATTTAATACATGCTATATGCAAGACTTCTGCTGGACTCCCAAAATATATTTTTAAAAAATGAGTAAGATGAACACTCACGCTTGAAGTAATACTGGGCAAAGATACAAATGGGCAGCTAGCCTCCATATATGTCAGATGTGAGCACAAATAAAAAGGGAAAGAACAGAAAAGAAGAAATAATTTCCATAGCCACTTATGGAGAGGATGGTATTTTTTGTTTGGAACATGATAGGTTAAAGTTATTTTAAAAATGGTCTGGTTGTAATTTTGGCAAGGAGAATATGTCTTGTTATTAATCATCAGGGAAACGCAAATCCAAATGACAATGTGATAGAACCTCACACCTGTTAGGATGGCTGTTGACCACGATGTAGAGAAAAGGGAACCCTGGTGTCCTGCTGGTGGGAATGGAAATTAGTAAAGTCATTATGGAAGTTTCTTAAAAATGAAAAATAAAACTCCCATATGGTCTAGCAATCCTACTTCTGGGTATATGGTCAAAAGAAATAAAATCAGTGTCTTGAAGAGCTATTTGCACTCTCATGTTCACTGTAACATTTATTCATGATAGCCAAATACATAAACAACCTACGTGTCCTTCAGCAGATAAATTGGTAAAGAAAATGTGGTATAGAAACTTTAGAATATTATTCGGTAGTAAAAAAGGAAATCATACCACTTGTGACAACATGGATCAATCTGACAAACATTGTGCTGAGTGAAATAAGCCAGGCACAGAAAGACAAATATTGCGTGATCTCACGTAGATGTGGAGTCTAAAGCAAAAGTTAAATTCTTGGTAACAGAGAGGAGAATGGTGATTAGGAGGAGCTGGGGGCTGGAGAGAAGAGGAGATACTGGTCAAAGAGTACAAACTTTCATTTATAAGATGAACAAGTTCTGAGGACCTATATACAATGTAGTGACTAGTTAATGATATATTGTATACTTCAAATTTGCTGTGAGAATGCATTCCAAGTGTTCTCACCATACACACACACACACACACACACACACACAGGTCGCTAAGTGAATTATGGATGTGTTAATTAACTTGTCGTAGTCTTTTCACAATGTACAAATTTATCAATATATCACTTTTATACCTTAAATATATACGTTGTTTCTTTATTGATCATACCTCAATAAAGCTGGAAAAACAAAGGAGAAGATATTTTGATAGAACAGTGGTCCCCAAACTTTTTGGCACCGGGGACCAGTTTCATAGAAGACAATTTTTCCATGGACAGGAGGGGATGTTTTAGGATGAAACTGTTTCACCTCAGATCATCAGGCATTAATTAGTTAGATTCTCATAAGGAGTGCGCAACCTAGATCCCTCGCAGGTGCAGTTCACCATAGGGTTCGTGCTCCTATGAGAATCTAAATGCCATCGTTGATCTGACAAGAGGCTGAGCTCAGGCAGCAGTGCTCACTTGCCTGCTGCTCACCTCCGGCTGAGCAGCCACGTCCCTAACAGGCCATGGACCAGTACCGGTCTGTGGCCCAAGGGTTGAGGCCGCCTTTTGAAGACACAGATTAAACTGAGAAAAACACTTCAGTCCACCATACGTCCTGTAGTTACTGTCAGCTAGTGTGAAAATCTTTCCTCTAACAGATACTACATCCTTTTGTGCCTCTTTCTAGCAATGTCAAATTCTCTTGTTCTCCTTATGTTAATGTCCTAGAAACCAATTCAAAGTCTTGAATCTTAGGTCCTGCCCAATTTATTTCATGGAATAAAGCTCTTAATCCTTCTACTTAAAATAGGACATGCTTAATATTCTTTTTGTTTCCGTATCAAAAGTTCACTTTAGTTAAGGGGCCATTAATTTATCCCTTTTTATTACAAAAGCCACTGAGGATGAGCTAGTTTAAAATTATGCCACCATAAAAATTGACCTTCAAAATGCATTGGGCATTTATAGCTTTCTCATTTGTTGATAAGCAATGAAACAATGTATGGACTGCTTGCTAGATGAACTGTAAGTCATGGATGTGGCTTTTCAAATTTTAATTTCATTTGTAGTATTTCAGGAGTTACATTCTATTACAGTTGTGAAATTTTGCAGAATGAACAGAAGAGAATTTGTGTTTATCAAAGTTTCATTCTTTCTGTGCAACCAGATATACAATTGTGTTTATTACTTAAGAGTTGCCTTCTGCCATCTGCCTGATGCTAATTTTCTTGTAAATTTAATGTTTAACCAATATTACCACTTCATTGTATACAAACAGTTATATAGCATATTGTTTACAGTACAGTCTACTATTTGACTAGTTCAGATTGCTCTTAAATCAAAATTTTGTGTAAGCTCCACTGAATGAAATGGAACCATGGAGTCCTATAAATATTAAATATCTTCTTTTTTTTCTTCAAATACCCTTGAATAATTAAGTTTAGGGAATTAGTGAAATTTCTCCCTTGATCCCTCCATCCCAGTGAGATTTTACTATCTATATTATTACCATGTCAGATTTTACTACTTGCAGTATAAAATAAGTGGCACCATGGTCTTGAATATTCTACAGGGCAATAGTTCCATTTTTATACTTTTCTCTGGGGGAATAAAAATATATCAGATTACTTATTTGCATAGGAAGAGAAATATTTTCTTCGACATAATTGACATAAAAATATAATAAATGAAATGTGAATTTCCTTCCATAAGAACTGAACATCCAATTTACAGCATGTTAACCAACTGGTTACATAGTTAACAAATTTTAGATCAAGCTGTTTCTATCACAAAGGTGATAGTAAATTAGTTCTGTGAGTTGGCTGCCAGTAGTGCTGCCCAGAGCTGTCATAATTTAAAATAAAAAGTCGCCACTCTTTTCATCCACGGAGATGCTTTTCTGTGGCAAAAGTTTGATTGGTGTATGTACCTGTCTATGCACTTTAATAGCTTCCTGCGGCTGTGGTGTGTCATCAACATACACAAAATTGTAAATGGGATATTAAATGCTCAATTACCTCAATTTTATAACACAAGGAATAGTACCAAGAAGTATACGACAGTCTTGTCCTACATGGATTGAGGGCTATTTGAATTCATTTGCTATCAGCAAATGGCATTCACTGTCATGTAACTGATTCATCAAAGCTCTGACATGGAATAAAGATTCAGGAGCATTCAGGAAAAGAGATATGCAAGGCTAGCTCCAAAACTTTGAAATGCATTAATTCGTTTTGAAGACTTTGAGAAAACAAACAAGAATAGTTTATTGATTTTCTGAATCGTGTATATAAATGAGTGAAAAATTAATGCAACAGTCCTTCCACTGGCATCACTACAAATATGTTTTTTCCTCTGCATTATCAGGCATGTGTGTGTGAGAGTGCATGTGTATGTGTATGCGTGTGTGTGATCTTTAGTAAAATAGGATTTTGAGAAATTGAACAGTGAGAATATTTGTTAGATCTACCATGTCTGAGCATTGCATTAAGCACTTAATAATTACCTATAATTGTAGATAGAATCATTAACTTAGATCTTAATACTGTTAGTTAGAATATAACTTTTCAGGGTTTAAGCAACATAAACAGGGAAATTAACATTTTTCTAGCCTGAGCAATTCTTTTGAAGACTGGTAAAGTAAGCTCAGTTTGTGGCCAGATGGATAGCTAGACAACATCTTAATAAACATGTCTGATGTCATCATATCATGTCATATTTAACCGTGAAGTTAATTATTATTACCCAAACTATGTGCACATGATGTGTCTTGTTGACCCAATTTAAATGTTAAAGTTTTTTTTTATTGAAAATGTCTTAAGCAGGGAAAGTAGGAATGAAGGAAGATGGAAAGAAATATGGAAGTAAGGAAATGATGCATTAAATACCTGTCATGTGCCAGTCCTGCCTATGTTCACCTCCATATTCATATTTAATCTCTCTCTCTCTCCCTGTGTGTGTGTGCATGTGTGTGTGTGTATAGGGGGGCGTGTCCATCTGTCTGTCTTTTTCCCCTTCAGTTTTTCAACTGAGATTCTAAATAGAAATTATACAAGGGGCTATAAAAACATATGTAAAACAGGACAAAAGGAAAGACAATATTCAGTAAGCCATGTAGATCTGAATATTGTAGGTTTTCATTGGCCGGAGAAATACCTATATGCAAAATGGGGAAGAATGCAAGTTGAATACATTGGCTTTGATTCACAAAGTCAGAAATATGACTTTTTTACTACTTCTTAATATTGTACATATATTGTACATTTTAAGAAACTTATGTTATAATTTTTTAAAACTCATCAAGATTTTTCTACTTTCTAATTGTCTTACATTTGATGTTTTGCAAATATAAATTAGAAGTATATTGTCTGTAATCCCAGCACTTTGGGAGGTTGAGGCAGGAGGATTTCTTGAGCCTAGGAGTTCAAGACCAGCCTGGGCAACAGAGTGAGGCTTCCTCTCTAAAGAAAAAAAACAAAAAATTGGTAGTAGTGTGCACCTGTGGTTGCAGCTACTCAGGAGGCTCAGGCGGGAGGATCGCTTGATTACAGAACGTAGAGGATGCAGTGAGCCATTGCTGTGCCACTGCAATCCAGCCTGTGCAACAGAGTGGGAATCTGTATCCAAAAAAACTATATTGTCATTTTTACTATTTTGTTTTATTAAGTAATGATCCATGATTTTTGACTTCCTATTTTCTTATACTAAAATTGCATATTCCTATATAATTGATTTTCAAGTTCGTTTTCGTTTTGGTTTTGATAAAATAGTTTTATATCAGCACATATATATATATATAATTACTCTTCCAATATTTTTGTAGCCTTCCCTACTGAAATAAGTTAATTTTTGGAAGGACAAAGGAAGAAACATTTTCAAAGTTCATGATATCATTAAAAGAGGGGAATATATATTTATTAGAAAAAGCAAAGCAATTAAAAATAGAATAAAATGATAGATGATTCAACTTTAATCAAAGAACCCTGACTGAAAGATGTCAGGAATCAATGTAATACTGAAAGGAAGTAGAAATCCTCTGCCATCTAAGTATTTCTACTACGTCTAGAGAAAAGTACCAGATACTGCTAATTTCAATTTAAACAGGAGACACAGGGGAAGCTTTTGTGAGAGTGGCTAGGAATCACACAGCAAAACTACCACCGATGATGTGTCTATTTATGTACCTTCATGGTCTTAACTGAATGAGAGCACCATTGGTTACAATACCCCATGATAACTCTCCCTACTTAGGTTTCAGACCTCTTAGGTTAAGCCTTACTCTTTTTCTTTTGTTTTGTTTTGTTTTGCTTTGCTTTTGAGACAGAGTCTCTCTGTCATCCAGGCTGAAGTGTAATCGTTCCATCTCAGCTCACTGCAACCTCCCCCTCCTGGGTTCAAGCAAATCTCCCACCTCAGCCTCCCAAGTACCTGGGATTACAGGCACCCACCATCATGCCCAAGCCTTGTTATCTTTTTAAGGGTATTTTAAATTCAAATAATTCCCAGAGTGGCAAAGCATGATGTCACTTTAAGTCTTCTGAGAGTTAGTTTACCAATGCACAGTCCTTATAAGAGAAATGTCTTTAGGCCATATGACGAGAAATAAATACTTGAGACAAAAAGAATCTGGGGAGAATAGAAAGGGATGTCCATTACATCAAAGATAAACTTTATTAACTTCATAATTGCTCTTAGGGTCAAGTGATACAGGGAATGGAGCAATGTTAATAAATGATGCATTTATTATGAAATAAGGAACTCTATGTGTTCTAGATACCAGTTTTCCCTAGAAGCCTTCAACTGTAAGAATAGGTACAAGCTATTCCTTCAGGATTTTCTGTAATAAATGTTTATTTTGATGCCTTCCTGGAAATATGCTTGTCCTATAGTTTCTCCTAGAAGAGCAATACCTCTTCTCCTGAACAATATTATTTATGGACCTATCATAGATCCATATTATGGATAATATTGTGTACCTATTTTATGAATTTATTATTTTAATGTGTCTGTTTATGTTATGTAAGGATGCAAGGATGTTTAGCATAGAGGCACTCTCACAGTTTTGTTTGTTTTGATTTTGTCATTTCATGCCTATATAGCCGTTAACTTTCATAGCTGTTGTCCTTGGTCTCTGTCAAAATCAGTACTGTAGCCTCTGTTTGGTCAGCATTATACTCGGAGTCTTTTGATCTCAAGAATAAAGATATTGCATAACACCGAGAGAGAGATCAAAGATTTTACTTTCTTTTATTCCCTATCAATTACAATTTCAAGTACTAGCCAGAGCTTTGACAAAGAACCTTTAGACAAAGCATAATTAATGAAAAGGAAAAAAATAACATTCTCAAGAAAATACCTTTCAACACTGCATAATCACTTGCCTAATGGGGACGCTGGTATGCTTTGCTGAAGAAAAGCAATCAGATTTTTATCCCTTCCAGTTCCCATGAAAAGAAAAACTTCTTACACGGCATTTCCAAAAACTTTAGGTCACATATAGGTAATTTTCCAGAAAATCTCCCCATACACATTAGAAATAAGACATTTAATTAGATGGCATATAAGGCTCTTTTGGCTCTAAATCCAAAGACTCTGATGATGCTATATTATCTGAAAGATAATATTTTGTAAGAAAATGACTCATTTTCATTATTTTCTAATGCTCATCAGCTCCTCTCTCCTACTATAATAAAAGCAAATTCACACCCTCTGATTTCCAGTTCATAACCCATTATATGTATCATGCGATAAACCATCCACTAGAATCAAATTTTCTATTTTGGCCTCAATGTCATTAACACCACCTCTATTATTATCCGTTTTTGTGTTTATGCCCTGCTTCCTTTCCCCACTGTACTTTCATCTATTCACTCAACAAATATTGAGGGAAGACCTACTGAGTGTCAGTTACCGTCATAGCCAGCAAAAAAAAAAAAAAAAAAGAGAATGAACACAACAGTCTCCTCTTATTCACAGGAGAAAAAAAGTCCCTAAAAATAAAAGAGGATCCAATAGATTTCCCAAATTTAAATTTGTATGTTTCATTCTGAGACTGCACCTATGAATGAAATCATTCTAGGATACAAGCAACAATACCTGGAAGAAAACCTTCCCTGAACATTTAGATAACTGCTACGTTTCCAGTGAAAACATTATGCTTGTAAAAATCATAAAATGCCTCTAAACATCATGCACATTTTTAATGGACCAGCTGAGGTACTACCAAAGCTCATACATCTGAGTTAGCCGTCCCTTGTCCTGTTAAAACCTGGAAAGGGGAATTCTTTACTGTGAAGCAGGCAATATCTTTTATCTGACAGTGCAAATACTGGCTGTTTCAGGCAGCTATCAGTGACATGCTCTAAAATGTGCCCTAACATGCATGTCACTAGATTGAAACCACTAGTATTGGCCTTAGGCAGAATAAAAAGTGAAGGTTACCTAATACCTTCCTTCCCCTCAACCCACTCCAGATCCCTTTGTCCTTACAGCATGGTTTTCCCTATGAATTTATTTCCATGTGGCCTGGCCATTATGAAGACTCCAAGGTCCATGACCTGTACTAAAACAATAAAATTACTTTTCCCTGAATTTTTTTTCATATTTAAATGATATATCTAAAAACTGAAAAGGTTTAGATTACAAAGGAAAGAATTTCAGATCTCATGTAAAATTGCTGTGAAAAAAAGAAATAATGGAGCCACTAATCCCATACAGAGGCTGCTTTCCATTCTAGATATTTTAAACTAGATTACTTGTGCCTTTGTGACCACAGATGAAAAACATTTTCCTTCTTGAGATTTTAAGCATCCACACTCAGAAGAACCTCTTTGTGTGTGTGTAGAACATCTCTTTTCCTAGCTTTGTCCATCACTCCCTTGCCCCATGGTATGTCCTGACTTAGAGCTATGTCGCTTTATTCTGGAGCAAAATCACACTGAGGTTAAGTCTGCATTCCACACTCCATTCTCTTCTGTTTTTAAGGCGGCTGCAGCCACTGTTATTTGCCATATTCTCAATCCAAGGGGTCTGTTAGGAGGTAGTGCTTCAAAAGGTAATTCAGTAGCCTGCTTTTGTTCTCAGTGTGGAGGAAGGTGCAAGCTCAGTGAAGCACTCAGGCAAATTAAACAAGAGGGATCTGAGATCCACACAGTGAGTTCTCTCCACTCCAAAGGCTCAGAGGGATGTTCTCGATTTTAAAGTGAAAACCAGATAGAATGGCACTAATCTTTCCATCCCTAAAAAGTAAAACAAATTTAAAAACTTCTCGTTTTAATTCTTTCATAATTTATATCTGATTCTATGACAATAAAAATACTCAAAGGAAATAATGCCCCATTTAAGTACTTGATAACTTGGGGTTTGTTTTATTTTGTTTTTTAATCTTTGGTTTCATTTCGGCTACCCTATTTTACCCCACTGTTTTCCTAATAAGCGCATCATCATCTTTAAGGTAAAAATATTATTGACCTTAAAAATCACATCATGTTACCTTATACTTTACTTTACAATATTTTTTTGAAAATTATTATGAAATTGGTCTGTTAGTCTGTTTGTAAACACTGAAAAACTTGGTAGAGCTTCTGATAAGAACTCTAGAACAAAAGTAATTTTAATAGCCCTTAACTGATATCTGTTCTTTAAAAGATATTATATCTTTTATTTAATACTCAATATTTATTTCATTGTTCAGAAAATCTTAACAATATTTCATTTTTTCCCTGTTCCTTGGAAATCAAACCATTTAGAAAATAACTTTTATTTTCTTTATAAATCAAGAATTTTTTTAACTTTAATGTTTGAACTCAGCAACTCAAAGAAACTTGATTGAATTGTATCAGTGGAAATAAAAAATCCCTTTCTGTATTATTTTATACTTGTATAATCAGATGACTACTCCCTGCTATGTTTTGGTCAATTAAATCAATCCACCACTTTGAAAACCATAGGAGCTATCTCCAAACCCTCAGTATGCTTAAAGGGAAGAAAAAAATTAGTTCTGATCATAGAGTCAGATTCCTAGGGGAAGAAGGGAAGGAAGATCAATTCACATTGTAACCGTAACATGAAAATAAATGAAACATTTCAAGAGGTACTATTTAGTCTGGTGCCATTTTCTTCTTCTTATGTATAACATTCTGCCTCAGTATAATAATGAATTTACGTAACTTGTTCCTGAAGGGAAAGAAAGTGAACTATTTATACCCCTTATCCTATAAGCATTATATTTTTGCATTAACATCTTTTTTGGAGTATAACTACAACAGCCACTCTAGGACACCACACAAAACAGAAACAAAACCTCAAACTACAGAGGTATAATATCTGCAAAGTTCAGGTTATAGCTAGAAAAAAATTCAAAATTAAATATATGATGATTTATTATTACAAAAATGACAATTTCAAAACATGATGTCAATTTTTTAATGATATAATCCTCATCAACATTTTAAACAATTTATACTCAGAGTCTTTTTTTGCTGCAGTAATGGAGAAAAAATATTAATTCAGATGTCTGTTTCCAAATAAAACCATTAATGGAGTTTTAATTATTTTTGTACTAAAACTGGGGTGGGGGGGGCGACAGTTACATTATTTTGCTTACCTATGAAATACATTAAGAGGAAATTGGCATGTTTACTGTGTAAAATCAAAAGAATGAACTCGCCTTTTCCTCCCTTCATGTAGCAGAACTGTGGTGTCACTCAAGGGACATATTAGTCAGCAGCTGACAACACAGCCATGCCCGAACGATGGGAATGCAGACACAGCCCAGACACTTGCTGTCCACCTACATTAGATCAGCTACACAGAAATCTGTTTTCACTAACACACACTAAAATAAACACAATCAGATTCAGTGCCCCACTCAAATTATTTAATGTTAATGAACATCAAACAGAATAATCAATTCATGTTTGAAGCCGATCACATCTTAAATATGCATCCATACGTCAAGCCTGGCTTCAAAGAGTATAAGAAATCAAAACAATGTGAGTTCAAATTTATGAGCTGTACACTTTTAACACATTTGCTATAAGAAGTGAGTTGAGTATATTTTGTCTTCAGCATTATTTTCTAACATTTGTTTGTCCAATTTGTACCCCGGTCTACTAAAATCTCTCTTGTTGAGAAAGTCTTATCCAGACACATAGATTCAAGCTTTTACTACTATATTTTAAATTATACTAATATGATAGCCTCTGAAAATGATGATATGACAGTGAAATCCCTTTATCAATGTGTAATTATGACAAGTTTTTTAAAGTATTTTTATTGCTGTGGATCTATATACATGACTTAGAGTACAATAGCATGATGTATTCAAAATTAAATGCATGCTGAGAAGGAAAAATTATCATTTAAGTCTTAGAAAGACATTAAAATCCTAAGCACAGTAAAAGTTATCTGACCTAGAGGATAAGGAGGGTTCTGTGATGCCACATCTTATCATGGAGAACAAAAAGATTGAGGCATTCGAGACCAACACCTCTAGAGCCAGGTTGCCGGAGCTCAAATCCCACCCCTAAGACATGTTGGATCTGTGACAGTGGGCGTATTACTCTACCTTTTGTGCCTCAGTTTTCTCAACTGCAAAATGGGATAATAGAAGAGATATCTGTCTCCAAGGACTGTTTTGGCTGTCAATCGGTTATATTTACAAAGCATTCATAAGAGTTAAGATTATACATACATATTATGTATTGCATTACTTTATTATGTAAGATTATTATATATAACATTTCTATACTGAATTCTAAGGTATCCTAACAATTTACATATTTAAGTATTCAGGTATTGCCAACTGTGTTACAAAAATTTTATACACTCCCTCCACACCGGCTTCACCATTACTCCATTTGAGGAGTAATGGTGAAGACATTCACTGTTTTAAATGCTTTCTTCGTATCTTCTCTCTTGAAACAAGATCTGTTTCTTTTACATATACCTGCATTTTGCTTAAGGTGTGTGTTTTCCAAACACAGAGTGTTTGTAAATAGGGAGAGAAGGCATTAAGTTGAACAATCATTCTAAATATTAAAGACTATCTCTTTTTATTTCACAGGAAAAAGTGATAGTATGTGCCTAATCATTTTCAGAAGCCTATAAGACATTTTTTAAATTTTTAAGTGACGTATATTTTGTCTTATTTTGCCTGTATAATATATTGACAATGAAGTAACATGGCATGTTTATCGGTATGAAAATCAGATCATCTACAATGATAAGATTGTTTTAAGATGAAAGCTTTTTATTTTATAGCTTTAGTAGAATTCTCAACACTTTATTATTTTAAATATGAAAAACAATCAAAACAGAACTAAATGTGTAAAACTCTGATCCATTTTGCTATATATTTCATAATCATTATAATCACTAGTTTACATCCAATAATAGTATGATAAAAATGTTAATTTCATCTTTTTTTTTTTTTTGAGATGGAGTCTTGCTCTGTTGCTCAAGCTGGAGTGCAGTGGTGCGATCTTGGCTCACTGCAACATCCACCTACCGGGTTCAAGCGATTCTCCTGCCTCAGCCTCCACAGTAGCTGGGACTACAAGTGCGTGCCACCACACCTGGCTAATTTTTTGTATTTTTAGTAGAGATGAGGTTTCACCGTGTTAGCCAGGATTGTCTCGATCTCCTGACCTCGTGATCCGCCCTCCTTCGCCTCCCAAAGTGCTAGGATTACAGGCGTGAGCCGCCATGCCCGGCCAATTTCATCTTTTTATTGGAAACAATGCCTCAAAAAACAAGCTTTACATTGCTTTGATTGAGTTAACTGTGTGTACTTCTTCAAGGAAAGATGACATGTGTAATGTTAGCTTGAACTTCTGCGTATTCTTTCTGCCAATATGACAGCATCAGTAATTGCATAGCATGCTTTGATCCAATACAGAAGAACCAATTAAAAAAGAATAGCTCCAGTTTTTAACTTGTAGAAAATGGAGAGGTTTAGAAACCTCCTATTTTAGAAAACAGGATGGCTAACCATGGAAACAGAACAGCTTAATTGTATTTGTGGCAGACTGAGACGAAATCAGTAGTTTCCAGATCATGTGATGAGTGCCTATTTATTAGAATAAATTGCTACTGCTGAAAGAACTATACAAAAGGAGTGTCAGAAAAGGAAAAAACACTCTCAGGTACAACATGCAGGAAAAGAAAAAGAGGGATTTATTTCTCTTTCCACTTGACATTATTGTCAAATTATACAAAGATTCTCAGAAAGATGGGACAAAAAAATACAAGGCAGTATACTGGATTTAGCCTGTCTTGGAACTTATATTAGAGCTTAGTATAGATGATTACCTATTTGCTTGTGTTGTTTGAATAATTATAAATTTTGTAATGATTCTTATAAAGTCAACTGCTAACTTCTAATTTTAATGTATTGCATTTATAAAGAACATTATAATCAAAGGAAATTCAAACATGATAATCAGATATTAAAATGTATATGAATAAATAAAAAGGGACTAAGAAAATACAAATGTTTATCAATCTTCATAACTCTATGACGTACCAAGTTGTGGTATTATCCATCATGGTATGCGGTACATAACACAATTTTCAATTGAAAGTGTTTAGTTTGAGTGATTTGTAAATATGTATTGAATGAATGAATGAATGAATCCCCATTGAACAAGGCCCCTATGCTTCTGGATTCAGTGTCCCTCCTCTGACGACCTCCCGTAGGTGGGTGAGAAGAGCAGCAGTGCCCCTCTGATAGAGTGATAGCTCTTGGAAAGAGTAGGTGTGCTTGGAGAAGCCACACAGTGATTGGAGTAGTAGTTTTTATTAAAAAAAAAAAAAATTAAAAAACCTGAACACATTTAAAACTTCTGTCATACAGGACACAGTTATAAATAGAAAACATCCTGCTTATCCTTTGCGTAAACGTATCTTATGGACGTATGTTAAGTATGTTCCACCATGGAGTCTAGCAACTTCTCATGACCAAACACAGCTTCATGAAAGTTATCTCCCACCACGGGTGGACTTATGACATAATTTTTTTTAATATGTAATTTTTTATCACCCCCGGGGTCCTAATTCTCAGCCCTATGTTTTGGTTTAAGTCTTTTATCTAAATAACCAATATGACTCTTACCTTGTCTCTACTTGACTCATCAGGATCCCAAACAGTGAAATGTCTGTCGGTTCAAGACTGCAGGGTTCAGCATTTGCATAAAAGGCTCTAATGAGACATTTAATCTGACCTTGCATCTGTTGTTCAGCCTCTTTTCTCTCTCCTTTAATTTCTAAAACTGACAAGAAAGGGAAGCACCAGGCTTTATCTCTTTCACTTGAAGATCAAGAAAGAAAAATAAAATAAAAATGTTATGAAGTAACATTTGGGGTATATAGGAACAAAAAAAAAGCTGCTTTCAAAATACATTATCATTATCTACAAACAATTACAGATGACTTGATAAACAAAATAATTAATACAGAAGGCAAATGGCCTTTTTAACTTAAAATGAAATAAAAAGATTAAAAGGCATTGTCTAAAATTAAATCATGAGAGAAATGATCATGTATCTTCTGTGTATAGTTTACTTGATTTGTTTCAAAAAACTGAAAGAAATAAGCAGTTATGTCTTAATTTAGAGACTTTTTATAATTTCAAATGGGCAGCAATATCTCAAATTATAAGCACTTTTTAGTTTTCCTTTTTATGAAAAGAGAGAACAGATGAATGTCTGTCTGGCCCATTTCAATCTATTTTCTTTTGTTGCTAGAATTATTACATTCTAAGGCAATTCTAAGCCACAAGAAGCTATAGCTGTAACAGGAAATTAAATATAGCAATTAACCTAAGGCTACTCATAATTGATAGCATAAAGCAGAATTCATGAATTGTAGTATCACTAATTGAAAAAATACAAATGTATAAACAAAATGTAAATAAACACAAGTCAAAAATATTCAACACAGGAAGTCAGCAAGGTGGCAGAGAGGAGACTCTTGATGCTCCCTCCTCCCACAGACACACCAAGTAAATAGCCATGAGTGGATCAGTTCTGTCCCAGAGAAAGCCAGAATCCAGCTCAAAGACTCCTACACACCTGACAACTATGAAAATACACCCAAATGAGTAGAAAAAGTGGAGATACACTCAGGCATAACCCCACCCTGAGCACAGTGCCTTACATTTGGAAAGAAACCTCAACTCCCAGCTTCTTCCTGAGGGGTAACAGGCTTGCACCACACCTATAATGCCCAACTTTTACCATCACTGCAAGGGGGAGGGGCTCTTAGATCACCCCACTTGCAGAATGTCAGAGACAGCACATTGGGAGATTTCCCTCAAGCACAAAAACAAAGAAGAATTTGAACTGCCTCTGAGGGCACTCTCAGCAGCGGTAGCCCCTAGATCTGTCCAGCTTCCACCCTTCCCCTGGAGAGGGTTTGGCTTCACAGCAGTTCCCTGTGGTTTTGGCCTTTAACAGGTCAGTCTCTGGGAGCCTACAAAGCAATAAAGAAAAAGCCAACTTGAGCCTAAACAGGAAGCACAGCACCTACGAGGGCCTTCCCTGGCTTTCTCCAGTGCTAATCCCAGCCCTGCAGTCTCTCTGTGAAGAGTTGAAGTCTTCTCCCAGCAAGACTGGGAGGGACAGCACTCCTGTGCCTTCTCCCTCAGCTTGCTCTAGAGATAAACTCCGCAATCTCTTATTGGAAGGAAGCAGAGAGACCTCTTCATGTCTTAAAGGAAAGTGGGCACTCCAGACCAGAAGTCTCCCCTGCTATGAGGGAGGGCGTCTTCTGAATGCTCAAGCAGGACTGTGGGCACTCTCTGCACCTTCTTCCCCAGCTTGACCCAGCAGTAAATATAGATCTGAAGACCCTCCCTGGAGGCAGTTTCTACATGCATCAAATACTTCAACTTTTACAGTCTTTGCTTGGGACTGGCTCCTAAATCACCTGGCTCTGGGAGTTGACAGAACTCCACGCTCCTGAATCTCCTAGACCACAGGGAACAAAAGGTGACTTTTAAACTTGCAAACATTCAACAAGTATCTCCCCAGGTTCAAAGTGAGCAGTATGATCAAGGGTACAGGCATCTATCTCAGCTTCATTCCTTGGAGTAAGGCAGAATGGATGAGAAAGAAACTCTGGCTCTCAGCTTCTCTGAAAAGAGAGACAGAAAGAACTGGAACACGCATCTAACACCCCGACCTCTCCAGCCACATTCCTAGGGACTGGCTTCTATCAAATGTCTCTCAAGGCGATAGCACAACTTGATACTCTCCCATGTATTGGGGCCACTAAGAACAAAGACAGCAGGCTGGACAAACACAAAACTTAGAGGCACTTAGAATCTCTGACTGGGCTGATTAAGGAGGAACACTGACGAATGGAACAGGTTAGAAAGCCCAGAAAATAAGCTCAAGTATTTATGATCAATTGATTTCTTTCAAAGGTGACAAGAATACATAATAGGAAATGACGGATTTTATTCAACAAATGCTGATGGGAAAACCGAATATTCATATTCAGAAGAACGAAATCAGACCCCATATCACTAGAAATACAAATATCAATTTATATATATATACATATATAATTTTTTGAGATGGAGTCTCTTTCTTTCATACAGACCGGAGTGCAGTGGTGCCATCTTAGTTCACTGCAACCTCCGCTTCACGGGTTCAAGAGATTCCCCTGCCTCAGCCTCCTGAGTAACTGGGACTACAGGTATGTGCTACCACACCTGGCTAATTTTTGTGTTCTTAGTAGAGACGGAGTTTCAGCATGTTGGCCAGGCTGGTCTCAAAGTCCTGACCTCAGGTGATCTGCCCGCCTCTGCCTCCCACAATGCTGGGATTACAGCTGTGAGCCACCGTGCCAGGCCCAAATATCAATTTAAAATTGATAAAGGACTTAAATATAAGACCTAAAACTACAAAGATACTATAAGAAAACAGGGGAAGATCTCCACAGCTTTGGTCTGGGTAATTATTTTTTAGATGGAACTCCAAAGGCACAGGCAGCAAAAGCAAAAATAGACAAACGGAATTGCCTCAAACTAAACAGCTTCTGCATAGCAAAGGAAACAACTCGATGAAGAGAGAAACCAGATTTAAAGAAAATATTCGCAAACTATACACCTGATGAGGGGTTTATATCCACGTCATATGAGGAATTTAACTCATGACAAGAAAACAACCCAATTATAAAATGTGCAAAGAATCTGAACAGACATTTCTCAAAAGAAGAGATATGAATGGCCAATAGATATATGAAAAACTGCTCCACATCTCCAATCATCAGAGAAATGCAAATTAAAGCCACAGTGGGATATCACCACATGCCCATTAGAATGGCTATTATCAAAACGACTGATGCCAACAAGTATTGGCAAGGATGTGGAGAAAAGGTAACCCTTGTACATTGTTGATGGGAAAGTATATTAGTACACCTATTTTGGAAAATAGCATGGGAGTAACTCGTAAATCTAAAAATAGAATTACTATGTGATTCAGCAATCCCACTTCTGGATATATTCCAAAGGTAGTGAAATCTGTATGTCAAGGAGATATCGGCATTCCCAGATTTCTTTTAGATTATTCACAATAGCCAAGATATGAAAGCAATATAAGTATCCAGGAACAGATGAATGCATACAGAAAATGCAGTATATATACACTATGGAATACTATATACCCTTAAAAAAGAAGGAAATTTTATCATTTGCAATAACATGGATGAAACTGTAGAACAATATGCTAAATGAAATAAGCTAAACACAGAAAGACAAATACGGTATGATCTCACTTATATATGGACTCTAAAGTGGTCTATTTCAGAAACAAGGAATAGAAATGTGGATACCAGAAACTAGGAGTGGAGGGAAGAGAAGATGTTAATCAGAGGTACAAAGAATTAGTTAGACTGAAGGAATGAACTTTAGTGATGTAATGCATTGTATGTTGACCACAGATAATAATAATGTATATTTCAGATTTGTTTTTAAAAAGTTTTAATGTTCTCACCACAGAAAAGTGATAAATTGGTGAGGTGAAGGGCATGTTAATTCACTTGACTGAAACTTTCTATAATGCCTACATAGATTAAATGTCACATTGTACAGATATATGTAATTACAGATATACATAAATATTGTCAATAAAATATGTTAATTACACACATAAAAAATCGCCAACACACCAAAGCCTAACAGTGAAATGAAGCTATGTTGCAAAGATATGTGTTACCAGTTATTCCGAGATGTTAGAGCTTCGAATCCTCTCATCAACTAACTCTCACCCTCTCATCAACTAACTCTCACCCATAATCACAGGTTCCTAACATTCAAAATCTCCTTATTATATAGATCTTTAGCAGTAAATTGATGTTAGAAAATTCAGGAAGTTCCTCAATGAGATCGAGGTTAAAAAATAATGGTGTCAACACTTTTTATCCCAAATGTTAAGGCAGCAAATAAGGGGATTTTACATTGCTGGCAGCTTATGTGTTGCTAATAGCCTCTTCCAGAAAAACGCTGGATAGGTTGGGTTGTGGGGAAATGATACGGTCTTCTCTCATTGAAAATCCTTAGAAAAACTTAAAGCAGATAATACTAACCAGACTTTGATCAATTTACTAGAGTAGTTGTTTAAATATGATTTATATTGATTGTCCTTCCTCTGTCTTCCCTAGTTGGTATATCTCAAGTAATAGATAAGTACTTAATATTATTTGTATGTTCTACTTTCCTTCTTATAAAATCTAATATATATATATATTTTTCTAGTTAAATGAAGGAGTTAGGTGTAGAGATGGGACAAATAAATCTCTGTAACTGGTTGTGATGAATTAGTTGTAAACACCACTGCACTCAGATCAGCCAATCTTTTTCTTTCTTTATTTCTTTCTTTTCTTCTTTTCTTTCTCTTTCCTTTCTTTCTTTGCTTTCTTTCCTAATTTCTGTCTTTCTTTCTTTTTTTTTTTTTTTTTTTTTGTAAAGACAAGGTCTTGCTTTGTTGCCCAGGCTGGTCTCAAACTCCAGGCTTCGAGGGATTCTCCAGCCTCCGCTTCCCAAGGGCTAGAATTACAGGTCTGAGCCACCATGCCTGACCTCTATAAAATCTCATATTTTTAATAAACAATGTTGATTTGTCATAAGAAGCAATCACTAGAAACAATGATTTAGTCATTCCTCTCAACCAAAAATGATGTGTAATATTTGTTGTTTTAGGTATTTGTGGCGTAGAAATGAACAAGTCACTTGTTTTTAAGTTAAACTAAACTGTACAAACCCAAACTTGAGTACTCAGACTTGGATTTGGGTCACAGAAATTTGCTTTGTCTTCATTTGTCCAACTAAACAGATAGACGTATATACTTTTTAAAAGGGAAAAATGTTTATTTGTAAAATTTGAAATCACATTTATTGGAGCACAAAAACTGTGTGGTGTCATTGCTTTGTTATCAATATAACAATATCTGACCTAAAGAGAAAGCTTCAGAATCACAATGAATTGATTTTTTTTAACTTCCTCAAGAACAATGTAAATCACTAGCATTTCTTCCTGTTTCATTGTACTGAGTGGTGCTTCCTTAGAACTAAAACATAGATACACATTTTTGCCAGAGTGATTTTACAGATTATGCTATATTGTAATAGTCAATAGAGGTAACTGTTAAAATTCCAAGTATTGTGAATGTCTGAATTGCCTCTTAAGGGTTTTATATGGCTATTAGTAAAATAGAGTTTTATAATACTTAATTCCAATTGACTTCAGTGCAAATCCACAGTACATAATGGATGGATGGGGGAAGGGAAGAAAAGTAGGATGGATAAATGGATGAATGGATAAATTGATAGACCGTGAATATCACTGCTATCTGACTACAAGTTGCTACTTTGATCGTAGTAAGTAAAAGTAATCACAATGGTAATAATATAGGGAAAGACTAGTCAAAGATATATTAACAATTAAAAAATTAATCTTAGTGTTATATCAGATATTAAACTGTACATCAACAGGGGGATGCATTAAAAGGCATCAAAATAGCCAAAGAAGACAAAAGAAAAAAAAACAGGAAAATAGTACAATTATAGTTACACTGAACTACATGATTTCCACCTCTAACTTTTCAAATAAGAGGAAAATATGCTCTATCCACGCACAATGCAATAGTATCTACTCCTTGGCTTTTAAAAACAACTGAGGAATCAGAAATAATTCAGTTCATAAAAAACACTGATACAAATTCAATATCAGCTTAATACAATATTAGAATAATATCAACATAAATAATAGCTTCTGTGTAGTGGGTAACAATGATAGGTAATTTCATTTTAATTAAATGTCAGCATGAAAATTCTATTCGCATTTATCATACTAACTATGCAGACCGTGTACCAAAGAGAACAGAAACAGCAGTTTGAATGTGTTATTTTCATTCAAAGATATTGTACCTGCTGGCATTCTGATTAGTGTTTACTCATTTTAGCATTAAAAATACCAAGTTTAGTTTTTTGACACACTATGTAGTACTGTCAATATTATATAAGACAAACATACAGAAAAGCAATTTGCACAGTCATTACACAATAACATATTTGCACTAACTCTATGTCACAATTGCATTTTGATAGCAGCAAAGGACTTTATTTGTATTTAGTTCAAATTGTTAAATTCTATTCCCCCTTTTTTTGTTCAAATTGTTAAATTCTATTTCCTCTTTCCCTTCCTTCCTTCTTTCTTTCCTTCCTTCCTTCCTTCCTTCCTTTCCTTTCTTCTTTCTTTTTTTTGTTTTCTTTGACAGAGTCTCACTGGGTCACCCAGGCTGGAGTGCAATGGGCTGATCTTGGCTCACTGCAACCTCCGCCTCCAGGGTTCAAGCGAGTCTCCTGCCTCATCCTCCGAGTAGCTGGGATTACAGTCGCCCGCCAACACGCCCGATTAATTTTTGTATTTTCAGTAAAGACAGGGTTTCACCATGTTGTCCAGGCTGGTCTCGAACTCCTGACCTTAGGTGATCCACCTGCCTCAGCCTCCCAAAATGCTGGGATTACATGCATGAGCCACCGCGCCCCACCTATTTCTCCTTTCTTAACAGAAGTCTGATTTAGAATTAGTGTGAATATGAGAAGGCCCGTGAAATGGCTTTGAGATCTACTTGCTGCTGTCAGGACCACTGGCCGCTAAGATGCCTTACTGCAGATGAGAAAATGCACCTCTGTGCTGCTTGGAGAGTGCTTCATTTTCAGCGTACTCATACCCCCTAACAGAGACCCCTTCTTCAGGACACAGCCTACATAAACACATATGGCAGCCCGAGAGCACCGTTAAAACAAATCACACGTTCTGAAAGTCCAGCAAAATCCTTCAAAATGACTCGCTCCGAAGTTAAAACAGGAAATGTATGTAAGATATCAATGGTCAATGGAAACATCCTAAAATTACTTTAACCAAAACAATGCCCTTGGTCATTTCCAATAATAAAAAGGTGGTTCTTCTCATATCTAGTTCTCCCACCTGCACTCAATATTTAAAACTAAGCAGAGTAAAATGGGTTTAAAAGATAGTCTGTTGTTTGCTGTTCAGTAAGTACAAAGTTTCTTTCTTTCTTTATTATTATTATTATAATTTAGGTTCTGTGGTACATGTGCACAACATGCAGGTTTGTTACATATGTACACATGTGCCATGTTGGTGTGATGCACCCACTAACTTGTCATTTACATTAGGTATATCTCCTAATGCTATCCCTCCCCCGTCTCCCCACCCTACAACAGGCCCCGGTATGTGATGTTCCCCGCCGTGTGTCCAAGTGTTTTTATTGTTCAATTACCACCTATCAGTGAGAACATGTGGTGTTTGGTTTTCTGTCCTTGCAATAGTTTGCTCAGAATGCTGGTTTCCAGCTTCATCCATGTCCCTAAGAGGACATGAACTCATCATTTTTTACAGCTGAATAGTATTCCATGGTGTATATGTGCCACATTTTCTTAATCCAGTCTATCATTGATGGACGTTTGGGTTGGTTCCAAGTCTTTGCTATTGTGAATAGTGCCGCAATAAACATACATGTGCATGTGTCTTCATAGCAGCATGATTTATAATCTTTTGGGTATATGCGCAGTAATGGGATGGCTGGGTCAAATGGTATTTCTAGTTCTAGATCCCTGAGGAATCGCCACACTGTCTTCCACAATGGTTGAACTAGTTTACAATCCCACCAATGGTGTAAAAGCATTTCTATTTCTCCACATCCTCTCCAGCACCTGTTGTTTCCTGACTTTTTAATGATTGCCATTCTAACTGGTGTGAGATGGTATCTCATTGTGTTTTTGATTTGCATTTCTCTGATGGCCAGTGATGATGAGCATTTTTTCATGTGTCTGTTGGCTGCATAAATGTCTTCTTTTGAGAAGTGTCTGTTCATATCCTTTGCCCACTTTTTGATGGGGTTGTTTGATTTTTTTCTTGTAAATTTGTTAAGTTCTTTGTAGATTCTGGATATTAGCCCTTTGTCAGATGGGTAGATTGTAAAAATTTTCTCTCATTCTGTAGGTTGCCTGTTCACTCTGATGGTAGTTTCTTTTGCTGTGCAGAAGCTCTTTAGTTTAATTAGATCCCATTTGTCAATGTTGACTTTTGTTGTCATTTCTTTTGGTGTTTTAGTCATGAAGTCCTTGCCCATGCCTATGGCCTGAATGGTATTGCCTGGGTTTTCTAGGGTTTTTATGGTTTTAGGTCTAACATTTAAGTCTTTAATCCATCTTGAATTAATTTCTGTATAAGGTGTAAGGAAGGGATCCAGTTTCAGCTTTCTACATATGGCTAGCGAGTTTTCCCAGCACCATTTATTAAATAGGGAATCCTTTACTCATTTCATGTTATTGTCAGGTTTGTCAAAGATCAGATGGTTGTAGATGTGTGGTAGTATTTCTGAGGGCTCTATTCTGTTCCATTGGTCTGTATCTCTGTTTTGGTACCAGTACCATGCTGTTTTGGTTACTGTAGCCTTGTAGTATAGTTTGAAGTCAGGTAGTGTGATGCCTCCAGCTTTGTTCTTTTGGCTTAGGATTGTCTTGGCAATGCTGACTCTTTTTTGGTTCCATATGAACTTTAAAGTAGTTTTTTCAAGTTCTGTGAAGAAAGTCACTGGTAGCTTGATGGGGATGGCATTGAATCTATAAATTACCTTGGGCAGTATGGCAATTTTCACAATATTGATTCTTCCTATCCATGAGCATGGAATGTTCTTCCATTTGTTTGCGTCCTCTTTTATTTCATTGAGCAGTGGTTTGTAGTTCTCTTTGAAGATGTCCTTCACATCCCTTCTAAGTTGCATTCCTAGGTATTTTATTCTTTTTGAAGCAATTGTGAATGGGAGTTCACTCATGATTTGGCTCTCTGTTTGTCTGTTATTGGTGTGTAAGAATACTTGTGATTTTTGCACATTGATTTTGTATCCTGAGACTGCTGAAGTTGCTTATCAGCTTAAGGAGATTTTGGGCTGAGACGATGGGGTTTTCTAAATATACAATCATGTCATCTGCAAACAGGGACAATTTGACTTCCTCTTTTCCTAAATGAATACCCTTTATTTCTTTCTCTTGCCTGATTGCCCTGGCCAGAACTTCCAACACTATGTTGAATAGGAGTGGTGAGAGAGGGCATCCCTGCCTTGTGCCCGTTTTCAAAGGGAATGCTTCCAGTTTTTGCCCATTCAGTATGATATTGGCTGTGGGTTTGTCATAAATAGCTCTTATTATTTTGAGATATGTACATCAAGACCTAGTTTATTGAGAGCTTTTAGCATGAAGGGATGTTGCATTTTGTCAAAGGCCTTTCAGCATCTACTGAGATAATCATGTGGTTTTTGTCTTTGGTTCTGTTTATATGCTGGATTACATTTATTGATTTGTGTATGTTGAACCAGCCTTGAATCCCAGGGATGAAGCCAACTTGTCTTTGGTTCTATTTATATGATGGATTACGTTTATTGATTTGTGTATGTTGAACCAGCCTTGCATCCTAGGGATGAAGCCAACTTGATCGTGGTGGATAAGCTTTTTGATGTGCTGCTGGATTGAGTTTGCCAGTATTTTATTGAGGATTTTTGCATCAATGTTCATCAGGGATATTGGTCTAAAATTCTCTTTTTTTGTTGTGTTTCTGCCAGGCTTTGTTATCAGGCTGATGTTGGCCTCAAAAAATGAATTAGAGAGGATTCCCTCTTTTTCTATTGATTGGAATAGTTTCAGAAGGAATGGTACCAGCTCCTCTTTGTCCCTCTGGTAGAATTCAGCTCTGAGTCCATCTGGTCCTGGACGTTTTTGGTTGGTAGGCTATTAATTATTGCCTCAATTTCAGAACCTGTTATTGGTCTATTCAGTGATTCAACTCCTTCCTGGTTTAGTCCTGGGAGGGTGTATGTGTGCAGGAATTTATCCATTTCTTTTAGATTTTCTAGGTTATTTGCATAGAGGTGTTTATAGTATTCTCTGATGGTAGTTTGTATTTCTGTGGGATTGGTGGTGATATCGCCTTTATAATTTTTTATTGCGTCTATTTGATTCTTCTCTCTTTTCTCCTTTATTTGTCTTGCTAGCGGTCTATCAATTTTGTTTATTTTTTCAAAAAACCAGCTCCTGGATTCATTGATTTTTTGAAGGGTATTTTGTGTCTCTATCTCCTTCAGTTCTGCTCTGATCTTAGTTATTTCTTGCCTTCTGCTAGCTTTTGAATGTGTTTGCTCTTGCTTCTCTAGTTCTTTTAATTGTGATGTTAGGATGTCAATTTTAGATCTTTCCTGCTTTCTCTTGTGGGCATTTAGTGCTATAAATTTCCCCCTACACGCTGCTTTAAATGTGTCCCAGAGATTCTGGTATGTTGTGTCTTTGTTCTCATTGGCTTCAAAGAACATCTTTATTTCTGCCTCCATTTTGTTATGGACCTCGTAGGGTGCCCCTCTGAGACAAAGCTTCCAGAGGAAGGATCAGGCAGCAATATTTGCCGTTCTGCAGACTCCACTGGTGATACCCAGGCAAATAGGGTATGGAGTGGACCTCCAGGAAACTCCAACAGACCTGCAGCTGAGGGTCCTGAATGTTAGAAGGAAAGCTAAGAAACAGAAAGGACATCCACACCAAAACCCCATCTGTATGTCACCATCATCAAAGACCAAAGGTAGATAAAACCACAAAGATGGGGAGAAACCAGAGCAGAAAAGCTGAAAATTCTAAAAATCAGAGCGCCTCTTCTCCTCCAAAGGTATGCAGTTCCTCGCCAGCAACGGAACAAAACTGGACGGAGAAAGACTTTGACGAGTTGAGAGAAGAAGGCTTCAGACGACTGGCAACAACAAACTTCTCTGAGCTAAAGAAGGATGTACGAACCCATCGCAAAGAAGCTAAAAACCTTGAAAAAGGATTAGACAAATGGCTAATTAGAATAAACAGTGTAGAGAAGTCCTTAAATGACCTGATGGAGCTAAAAACCATGGCATGAGAACGACGTGATGCATGGACAAGCTTCAGTAGCCTATTTGATCAAGTGGAAGAAAAGGTGTCTGTGATTGAAGATCAAATGAATGAAATGAAGTGAGAAGAGAAGTTTAGAGAAAAAAAGAGTAAAAAGAAATGAACAAAGCCTCCAAGAAATATGGAAGTATGTGAAAAGACCAAATCTACATCTGATTGGTGTACCTGAAAGTGAGGGGGAGAATGGAACCAAGTTGGAAAACACTGCAGGATATTATCCAGGGGAACTTCCCCAAAATAGCAAGGCAGGCCAACATTCAAATTTAGGAAATACAGAGAATTCCACAAAGATACTCCTCGAGAAGAGCAACTCCAAGACACATAATTGTCAGATTCACCAAAGTTGAAATGAAGGAAAAAAATGTTAAGGGCAGCCAGAGAGAAAGGTCAGGTTACCCACAAAGGGAAGCCCATGAGACTAACAGCAGATCTCTTGACAGAAATTCTACAAGCCAGCAGAGAGTGGGGGCCAATATTCAACATTCTTAAAGAAAAGAGTTTCCAACCCAGAATTTCATATCCAGCCGAACTAAGCTTCATGAGTGAAGGAGAAATAAAATCCTTTACAGACAAACAAACACTGAGAGATTTTGTCACCACCAGGCCTGCCTTACAAGAGCTCCTGAAGGAAGCACTAAACATGGAAAGGAACAACCGGTACCAGCCACTGCAATGACATGCCAAATTGTAAAGACCATCAATGCTAGGAAGAAATTGCATCAACTAACGAGCAAAAGAGCCAGCTAACATCACAATGACAGGATCAAATTCACACATAACAATATTAACCTTAACTGTAAATTGCCTAAGTGCTCCAATTAAAAGATGCAGACTGGAAAACTGGATAAAGAGTCAAGACCCATCAGTGTGTTGTATTCAGGAGACCCATCTCACATGCAGAGACACACATAGGCTCAAAAAAAAGGGACAGAGGAAGATCTACCAAGCAAATGGAAAAAAAAAAAAAAAGCAGGGTTTGCAATCCTAGTCTCTGATAAAACAGACTTTAAACCAACAAAGATCGAAAGAGACAAAGAAGACCATTACATAATGGTAAAGGGATCAATTCAACAAGAAGAGCTAACTATCCTAAATATATATGCACCCAATATAGGAGCACCCAGATTCATAAAGGAAGTCCTTAGAGACCTACAAAGAGACTTAGACTCTCACACAATAATAATGGGAGACTTTAACACCCCACTGTCAACATTAGACAGATCAACGAGACAGAAAGTTAAAAAGGATATCCAGGAATTGAACTCAGCTCTGCACCAAGCAGACCTAATAGACATTTACAGAACTCTTCACCCCAAATCAAGATTATACATTCTTCTCAGCACCACAACACACTTATTCCAAAATTGACCACATAGTTGGAAGTAAAGCACTCCTAAGCAAATGTAAAAGAACAGAAATTATAACAAACTGTCTCTCAGACCACAGTGCAATCAAACTAGAACTCAGGATTAAGAAACTCACTCAAAACTGCTCAACTACATGGAAACTGAAAAACCTGCTCCAGTATAAAGTTCAGTTATGCAACAGGAATAAGTTCAACAGAACTGCTGTACAACATTCTACCTATAGCTAGCATCAATGTATTGTGAACTTAAAATTTTAAAAGGGTAGATTTCATGTTGTATGCTTACTACAATAATTAAAAAAAAAACTTCTGTTTTGTATTTACTTTAAAATAAGGTTTAAAAACTGAGGAGGGTACATGATTTGAGACTGGCAAATTGCTTATAATTGAGGCAAATGAGAGGTACATGAGTGTTTATTATGTCATTCTCTCAATTTTTGTTCATGTTTGAAAACAGATTTAAAAGCTATGCCTAAGTGTCATTTCCTATAGTGTTCTTTTCTCTTGTTTCCCCATCACTTTTGATTTTCTCAATCCCTTTGTGAATCCCTACCCATGTCTCCCATGACACGTGTTCATGTATGCATGCGCACACACACACACACACACACACACACACACACACATGCACACAAAGGTGTACCTAGTTTCTCCCATCTCTGAATCTCAATACCATTACTTTAGTACCTATTACTTTAGATTTAATCATGTACTTACCTGTTTCTACCAGCCAAAAGCTGTGTCTGCTATACTACAGAAAACTGGTAACTCTTGTTGAATAATACATTTATTACAAAGGTCATATTTTTATGGGGATAACTTTTTCACCTGTTTGAATAACAAATATGTCTCCAGAGATGAATTTCTAGTAACAGAAGTATAGCACATGTCTGTAAGAGCAAAGTAATAACATAGTAATAATAAGATGATGATGGTGATGGTAAGAGCTCTACATTCATCACTTTTATGGCTGGAATTGTATGGTTTGACCCACATTTTATTCTGAGCTTATCACTCGGGACTCAAGAGGCCATATGCCGTGCTGTTTAAGAGTTCGGCCTCTAACGTTGAACTGTCTTTTCATATCTCAACTCCAACACGTTTTAGATACGCAATATTGTGCAAATTACTTAGCTTTTTTGCTTCAGTTTTTTCCTTCCATAAATCTTGAAGAATCTTTGTCAGGATTAAATGTGTTAATATACATCAGGCATTTAATACTATCTCTGAAATAGAATAGATACTATATGTGTCAGCTGTTAATATTTCTGCCATACAATAGGCACTTAAGATTTTTGACTAAGTGAATGAAAGATCACATATATAAACCATTTTGACTAACTTAGTTGACAAGTTGTGTCATTTAATATTACCTTACCAAATTGATGGATACAGAAGTTGCGATTGTCTAAATATTTTTAAATCATCTGTAAATAATAACAAAACAAACTTCTATTATATGGGACTGAAAAGGGGTGCATAAATTTTAAATTTTTAAATCTTTCATTTTGTCATGTAGCAACAAATTGTATATGATGCCTTACTTTCTTTTTGCTTTGCAGAAAATATTTGTCCTATCACTATGTCATTATATTTTTGCTGTACACTAAAAATTATCCACTACAACCACTGACAAACTACTCAGGATAATATTCTTCTATCCTTGTGGAAAACAGACTCCCATTAATTTTTCAGAAAGAGTGGAAGAAGAGTTGTACCTTTTCCAAGTCCTACGAGGTAGCTTGAACAGGAAATTTTTGGAAATGAGGAGGGAGGTGGAACTTACAACTTAGCCATAATCATTCCTCTTTCATTAGTTGACAAGAGGTTTACCATCAACCTCCTTCACAATACCACAACAATTTCTTTGGTTACTTCCACACCCAGCACACAGGCTGTCCCTCCCGTGTTTATGTTTGCTCCTTCCAGAAAATTCCTTGCACCACTGTGAATGTACATGTGCATTTATTTGGAGATCATTCATGCAACTTTGGACATTATAGGTAGGCAGTGGTCTTGAAATGATACCATGTATATCTTTTTGTTGTTGTTGTTGTTGTTGTTGTTATTGTTGAGACAGAGTCTCACTCTGTCACCCAGGCTGGAGTGCAGTGGCACAATTTGGGCTCACTACAAGCTCCGCCTCCCGGGTTCACACCATTCTCCTGCCTCACCCTCCCTAGCAGCTGGGACTGCAGGTATCTGCCGTCACACTTGGCTAATTTTTTTTGTATTTTTAGTAGAGATGGGGTTTCACCATGTTAGCCATGATGGTCTCGATCTCCTGACCTTGTGATCTGCCCGTCTCAGCCTTCCAAAGTGCTGGGATTACAGGCGTGAGTCACTGTGCCCGGTCACCATGTATGTCTTCTTAAATGGAAAGAAGATAAATAATTTTCTGTAAAAGAAATTATGGAATAGTCTTCTTTTCTTCTATTCTCAAATTAATCCTGAGTCCATTTCACAATGTTTCAAATTAAGGTGCATAGGCTCCAATTGGTTTTGGAAATGTCATTAAAATTTACCACAACTATCCCTAAATTGTATTATTATAAACAGCATTTGCTTTGATTCTGTTGACCTGGAATGTTGGGTCTGCTGGTCTCTTAAGGAAATCCCTCCACTGAAGTATGGTCTCTTAACTTCTATATAGAATTAATGTATTTGTTGCCTTAAATAGCATGTTTGTAAAATTCAGGTGAAAGCTAATCATCTGTTATGTTGAACAGTCCACCCTCAGCACTTAAATACAAGCATGCATGTCTCTGCAGATTTAAATGATTTGTATAAACATTTTAATACCTATAATATTTTTTTCTCTTTGTTTTAGCTGTCAGGAAACTGAGAGTTAACATCAATGTACGATATAATTACAGCAAACCCATTGTAGAATCCCAATGACATACATTTATGTTGCTGCTTTTCAATAATGCCTATTTTGATTTATTTCTTCAGATTTTATGAAGTTGTATATACAACTTATAAATTTCCAAATTATGTCTCCAAGCAGGTGAGTATGAGTTTTAAATAAATAAATGGGTTGATTTTCGATAACTTGAAAACTTGAAACTATATGGCCAACCTAAAAGACTCTGGCTATATTTTTCCTCTTAAGTATCTATCAGCCAAACCATTTATAATATGGAAAATATAACATTTTTATACAATATGGTACCCTTAAGTCTGGCTGTTTTTAGTAAGCTGTTCTTCAATTTTAATGTAGTGGAACTCTCAAAATTATGTCTACTTAGTTTAATGTTCTCTCTTTTAATGGTTCAAGTATAGGGCCAATCATTTATCCAAGAGTACCAATTTTCCATTGGTTAAACTCACAGAAATTGCTTTCATGTCCACCACATAAAAAGTGTGCAATATTTATACCATAATCCTTAGATCTTTTTATACTAAGTTAAGGACACGATTTAATTTATGGACTAAATGTGATGCTTCTTTTTCACTATTGTTTTACTGATAGCATTCTTATTATTTTATACTCTACATGTGGATTGTTATATATTCTTTGTTCTTATAGACTTAGAGCTGTATGTAAAGGTTTATTTTTCTCAGCCAAAATTACTCCAAGTCCTCTTCACCTCATTTCTTGATAACTGCAAATCCTTCCAGTCACCTTCTCAAAAACCATCTCTTTGAACTTCAGTTACTCTTGCATAACGCAATTGATGAAATTTTCTAAACGACCAGCTTATATTACTTCCATGGTCTGAAATGTATAATGGCTCTTTCTAACCTTCATATTTAGCTAAAATTTCTCTGAAGTTCAAGGTCTGCCATAACCTAGGCCTATTCTTCATATCTGAACTTATTCTCTACCATTATAATCTTACACCTACCTTCAATATTCAGAAGGTAGCCTCCCATGCTTTTTCTCATCTCTAACTTAAGACTTATTTCTCTCTAAAAGGGTATGCATTCCTGAAGGTTTCACATAAGTCGTACCCCCTCCATAATTGCGGAATATACTAGGCTGTAAGTTCCCAGGCCTGGTGCAGTGGCTCATGCTTGTTATCCCTGCATTTTGGAAAACTGAGGCAGGAGGACTGCTTGAGGCCAGTGTTGGTGACCATCCTGGACAACAAAGTGAGACCCTGTATCTACAAAATAAAATAAAATAAAATAAAATAACTAAAAAATTAGCTGCATGGTGGCCCATGCCTTTAGTCCTAGGTATTCAGAGGCTGAAATGGGAGGATTACTTGAGCCCAGGGGTTCTAGGCTGCTGTGAGCTATGATCGTGACACTGCACTCCGTGACTCCAACTCTAAAATAAATAAATAAATAATCATTGGCTTTGAGACTTTTTTCTGCTTTATAATTTTGATAATAATAACTACCATATAATTGTGCACCAAGGAATTTGCTAAGAACACTGTGTGTATTATTTCTATCTTATTTTATTTTTATTTTTTTAGATGGAGTTTTGCTCGTGTTGCCCAGGCTGGAGTGCAGTGGCATGATCTCGGCTCACTGCAACCTCCACCTCCTGGGTTCAAGCAATTCTCCTGGCTCACCCTCCCAAGTAGCTGGGATTACAGGCACATGCCACCACACCTGGCTAATTTTGTATTTTTAGTAGAGATGGGGTTTCACCATCTTGGCCAGGCTGGTCTCGAGCTCCTGACTTCAAGTGATCCCACCTGGGTGTCCCAAAGTGCTGGGATAACAGGCGTGATCCACCACACCTGGCCGTATTATTTCTTTTAATATTCACAATGAAATTTTGAAGTACAGCATATCATCTATATTCTACAGGAATTACAAGGTAAATAAATCTGAGCTCAAATGGAGGTGCTAGCACGCAAACTCAAGTCACAGTGACTGTCAAGGGCATGCTCTTCCATTCCTCAAATTAATTAACACATCATTCTTCTCTAAGAGATCACATCACTATCACTCTTACATTCACCACCTGCAGTGCTGGACCAGAGCTGTCCAAGAGCAGAACTGTAATCTACTTTCTCCAGTGTTGAACATGCATTCAAAAACATGCTTCAAACATATTCACAGTGGATCGAACGTTCAGAGGCAGATTTTGTGAAAAGTAAATTGATGAGATAGGGAACAACCAAACAAAGCTAAACTCCAAATCCCCTGATAGCCCCACATCTGGACAGAAGGCTTTGCAACCTCATGACCCTCAGCTTCTCAGAAATTTAGGCAAAATTGCCTTGAGACTCTGCTGTTACTGCAACTTTACAGATTATAGATGTCAAATCCTTTCCAAACTTTTCCTAAGGTTTTGCAGGGGGTGGGCAGTTATTAAAGCTGTGGGGGTGATGTATTTACTAGTAATATCTTCTGTTTCTTGAGCTAAGCTGCTGTACATTCTTTTTTTATGCTTGAATGTGTAGCCTTCTGCAGGAAAACCCTGTCACTCCAAGCACTGTGAACAGTATAGACTTTTTGAAGACTCGTGAAGAAACACAGAACAATAACTCAATAATAGCAAGAAAAACAAAACAAAACAAAGCAAAAAACCACATTCAACTTGCAAATAGTGGCTCTTCACAAAGTCCCAGACTGTCTTTTTCTCTTGTCCTCCCTTGCCTTATTCTTTGATTCTACCTCCTGTTTTCTGTAAGAAAACCAATAGTTTCCTTTCCTTATAGCATAGAAGGATCATCTCTTCCTTTGGGTATGTTAATGACCACTTTCTTTCATGCTCACAGCATCTCACGTTTTATAGTAAGTGTCAAGAAACTTACCAGAGTATTTCTTCAAACAAAATACACATATTTGTGCTAGCAGTTCATATAATAAAGTTTTTTTTATTTACGTGTGTGTCTGTGTATGCAAGGGTACACACATTCACATTAACACGTTTAGAGAGTGTGTTTGTAGCATTCAACATGGAAAACAAGTTACCAGATAGAGCTTTCATTATCTTTCTAGCATAAAGAATGTGCTTATTTATAGAAGGTATGCTTATGAGTATAGCACTACAAATAAACATTGGAATAACCTAAAAGCTATTAATGCCAATTACTATACATTTCAAAGAAGTACATATAAATTTATAACTCTCTGATAGTTATTACCTACATGGAATCCTTATCATATTTACTGAAACTTTCAAAACTTTTTCTATATTATCTACCTATTTCTTTCTCTTTCCTGCACTTTTTCTAGTTTTGTATGCTTTACATGCCTTTATTCTCTTCTGTGATTTGTTTTCCTCATTTGGCTATCTCTTTCTTCTATTTCACTTTTATTTCACACATCTTTATGGTTTTACCTACTTTGATCACCCATCTATATTTCTTCCTTTTCTCTTTCTGTCTTTAGTCTCCCAAAATGGCAATAAAATGGAATTTAAATCCATAGACAACACTGAAGATTATTAGTTCAATAAAACTTAATGCTCTTGATATTAATTTGAAAAAAACGAAGGTATCTTTTTCTTTATGGAACAAGAAAACATACAGATCTGAATATAGATATATTAGGAAATGCACTGGGAAATTAATGATTTTCAATTTAAATTGTTTTTCTATATATCATCTATAAGTATTGGGAAATGTTACAATGAACAAATGATGGAAATAATATTCAATCATTCAAGAAAAAAATTGAATTAACAGCTCAAGAATTAAAACACTTTTACTTCTTGGCTTTTACTATCTTCTTGAAAAGTAATATTAAAGAAATATTGTTTCTATTGTTTCTATTAATATTAGAACAACACAAACACACACACAGAAACACACACACACACACACACAGATAATACCTGCTTTAATCTTTATACAAAATAACTCAGTACTTTGCTGATCTACTTTCTAAAAATGATTAAGAACTTTTTAGTTTTCTGAAAATCTGAACTTTAAGTCTTCATACATATATATAATTTATGCAACTTAAAATGTGCACTCTTTCATTTCATCTGGATCTCGGTATTTTAGATTTAGGTGACAGGATGACAAACAGACCATTATTTGTAACTGTGTTATTTATACTAAAATACGTGGCCAAATTAATTTATATTGTTTGTATTGTTAATTACCAGGACAAAGCAAAAATGTGTGTTTTACTGGGACATGGGACAACCATGCAATATCCAATATCCAAACACTTATCAGGCAGCATATTTCCCTTAACATCATGATAGAAAATTAGAAATGCTACCTCCTGAAGTCTGCTGCCTGGAATCAGAACAGCCTAGGAGCTCTCTAAATACTCAAGAGAAAATTCTGCTTTTGTAACCATATGTCTGTTGCCTGATGCTCAACAAGTCAATACATGGAGACACCAGTTTGCAGCAAAGAAAGGGGTTTCATTGCAGGGCAGCCAAAGGAGGAGACAGGAGAAAACCTCACACACATCACCTTGGGGAGTCTGGGACTAGGGTTTTCACAGGCTCTGAAGTAGCCCAAAGTGTGGAGATCATGAATTGGTTGAAGAGTGCAGGGTGAGGTCATGGAATGGGGAGATAAAGAAACTATTCTCAGGTGACTCAGTTCCTCTGTGAGTGTCTTCAAACTGGCTGGGGTCCGCTGTTCTGCTGGAATTTAGGATCTGCTTAAGCAATTCCTAAAAAGCCTTGTGATTCCAACATCAGAGATCCTATCTATCCTACATCAGAATCCTATCTATACAAGCAATGGGATGCAAATGGTCAGTATCTAGTGCTATGTGACTTTGGTTGTAAGGAAGTAGGTCAAAATACAGCCTGACTAATGCTTAATTATAACTATGTTTCTGTCCAGAATACTTACTAACCCTGTGAGGACAGCTTCACTTTGCTCTGTCAAGCATTCTAAATCAATAAAATTTTTCTTTTTTTCTTTTCTTTGTTTTTTTTTTTTTGAGATGGAGTCTCACTCTGTCGCCCAGGCTGGAGTGCGGTGCTGTGCAATAAAGTTTACGAGGTGAAAATGAAGTCATTTATGTAAAGTTTTCATGTTTTCATTTTTAACAATTATTTCTGCTTTCAGGATAATAATTCTAAGCTTTCTAGAATGGGAACAATTGAGCTAGATCTACAAGATTCATCTAACCAATATCTTTTAAAAATAGGCAAAATGTTATTGTCCTTATTTTTGAGGGATAGGAAAATCCATAAAAACGATTTTTTCTTTTATTAGCAAGAAAAAATATTTTAATGGGTGAATGGGGGTATAATATGTATTTAGATTATCACATATTTTAGATTTTAATTGTTTTATCTCTTAAAAATTTGAATACTCTGGGAGAACAATTCTCAATCTAAATTTGAGACATGGTGCTTATTTACATACATCTTTATGAACAACAAGTTATAAAGATCAGCCAGCCTAGAAAACTGGAAGGGTAGAACCACCACCTGTACCCTGAATACATGCTTTTGCAGGAAAACAAACAAACAAAAAGCAAAACAAACCAAAAAAAACAGTTTTTGCAGCCTCTAACTTACAAATCCATTTTATTCATCTCTCCCTGAGGCTGGCAGTACAAATAATAGTCCTGGATTTTATACCAGATTGTCAAATTCATTTTGATATCTTCAGTACAGGGACTGACTCATAGTACATGATAGTACACGTTCCATAGTTGGCTAAAATGTAGTGACTATGACTGACTACCTCGTGAATTTTTAGATGTAAACTTATGACTTTCTGTGTCTACTTAAATTTGGAATTCTATAACTGAATATGCAATCAATTCAATTACTTTCATCTTAATGGTAATTTTGTATATGTAGATGAAAACATAAAATCTCTATATTTTATAATTAATTGGTTAATGGCTAAAAGTAGTAAATAAAAAGCATATAATCTCTAATGGAAGTTTCAGTTATAAATTCTTTTGGTGAACAAAAATTAAGCTACTATTTTAGTAACTTAGAGTTCCAAAATCATACTTAAAAACCAAATTACTATATCGCATCCCAATATGACTGACAACATTCTGGAATTAGCTCAAAACATGGATAAATACACAAAGTATGAAATGACTACTACTTCAATCTTAAGTGAGTTTAATTCTCTAAGGTTCAGGCTCTGACTCTGAATGGTACTCTAAAAATAAAAGTCTATAGTGGTAAACTGAAAAGTAAAGTCATCATTATCAATTAAAACTTAAACCAATGGCATTGTAAGTGAAAGTAATTATCTCAATTATATAAGAAATGTTTTGTGAGAAAACTAAACACAGGACACTGACAAGTACATTAATCATATATCTTTGCATTAGTTAACACAACGACCACACAAGGTTTGCATAAGCAGAAAGCTGTTTGGATCTGGGCCAGCTGACATTGGCTGATTATGTGGTCCTCCCCTCTGAAGGAGTCGTTAGTCTGTTAGTGTCCTCTCCTCTTCTAGGCTACCTTTCCTAGAGGGCAGCGTCCAAATATCCTTTCGTCTCATCAGTCCTTTGCGCAGTCCGGCTGGGTAGGCTCTGGGTAAAAGTTACTTGAATTTCTGGGTTCTGGGCATATTGTGAAGCTTTCAATTTTTAAGGATGCTTAAGATGAATGACTGAATGTTTAATTCAATTTTGCTTAAGGCACTAAATTTACAAAACCATTAACTTGTATTTAAAAAGAACTTCTCCACTTTGTGATTCTGTCGAATTGTCTGTCAGCTCTAATCACTAGCCAGAAGGGAAAGCCCAGTCCAGAAAGTATGGAGTGAATGAAGACAAATTCCTTATGGGGTTGATTTTTTCACTCTTATCTAAGGTGTCACGGAAATCTTTTCAGAAACTGCCATCAGTGCTCCTCCTAGAACAAATTTTTGGTTGCTTTTATGTGGAAATTTTGAAAGGCAGCCCCTCCAACTCCACTTTTTTAAATGAGTAGAGAAAAGGCTTTATTAAAAAAAGAACCACTTTTACATTATGGAAGGTCTCCATGTTGATATTTTTTACCTTTTAAATTATTTAGAAATTATTTTTTCTACAGTTTTTGAGAGTATATTAATAATAGTTATTTTTTCAAATTAGATAATTTAGAGGAATTAAAAAGAAACCCAATGAGCATTAAGCAAATCAAACATGAAAGAACAACGTGAAATGAAAGGAGAGCATCAAAAGCCATATATACCTCTGTTTGACAAAGTTCTAGAGGAGATGAATGGGATAGACTCAAAGTTACTGTCTCCTAAGGGAAAATGATGGCCTGTAAGTCAAATGTACTAGTGTACTTAGTTACTAAATGTTAACTATCAATCAAGATATAATAGTGTATATTGTTTCAGAAGCATCCTTCATTATAAACAGGTTTTCCATGAGAGTTTCATGTTGCTAGCCAGCTCTGGAGTTGAAACAATCAATAAACCATCATAGAAGACTAGGTCAAACTATTAATTATACAGAGCGATTTTCTAATCCATTTTTATTAAATGATAAAAGATAATTGTTTCAGGTCTAAAACTGAACAACTTCAGAAAAAATGTCCAACAGAGTTTTCAATGGATATAGTCTCATAAACCTAAATTTTCTCCTGGGAATTCCTATGTTCATGGTATTATAAATTTTAAAATGAAGTTATTGTGCTTGTCATCTATATGAAGACTTTTCACTGTTTCATTTAAATCCAATTTTATTTCATTTATTTTTTAATTGTAAATTGATAAATTATAGCTGTATATATTTATGTGACACAAACTGGTGTTATAGTTCGTGAATACAATATTGAATAATTAAATCAAGCTAATTAATATGTTCATCATCTTAAATACCATATTTTGTGGTGAGAACATTTGAAATAACAATATGTTATTTCCTATATTCACCATGCTTTACAATATATCCCAAAGAATAATGTATTTCTCTTGTGTAATTAAAGCTTTGTACCCTTGACCATTAACTCCTCATTCCCCTCTCTCCCAGCGTCTCGGATAACCACTATTCTACTCTCTGCTTCTTTCAATTTGACTGTTTTAGATTCCACATATACGTGAGAGTATAACGTATTTGACTTTCTGTTCCTAATTTATATTACTTAGCAAAACGTTTTCCAATTTCACTGTTGTCACAAATGACAACATTTCTTTTGTAAAGCTGAATAGTGCTGCACTAACCATGGGAGTGCAGACATCTCTCCAACATGTTGATTTCAGTTCCCAGTATACCCAGTAATGGGATTGCTCAATCATATGGCAGTTCTATTTTTAATATCTGAGGAACCTCCATATTGTTTGCTATTACGCTTGTACTAATTTACATTCCCATCAACAGTGTGTTAAGAGTTCCTTTTCTCCACATTCTCACCAACACTTGTTCTCTTGTTTCTTTTTGATAACACTCATTTTTTAAAATTTTTATTCTAAGTTCTGTGCTAATGGGCAGTTTTGTTACATAGGTAAATACGCCATGGTAGTTTGCTGCACCTATCAAAAGGAACAAGATCATGTCCTTTGCAGGGACATGGACGGAGCTGGAAGCCATTATCCTCAACAAACTAATGCAGGAACAGGGAATCAAACATCTCATGTTCTCACTTATAAGTGGAAGATGAACAGTGAGAACACATGCACAAAGGGAGGGGAACAACAGTCATTTTAACAAGAGTGAGGTGGTATCCACTGTGGTTTTGATTTTCATTCTCTGATAATTAATGATGCTCAGCATTTTTTCATATACCTTTTGGTCATTTTGTGTCTTCTTTTGAAAAATGTCTACTCAGCTCCTTTGCCCATTTTCTAATCAAATTATTTGTATTCTTTCTATATATTTGTTTGAGTTTCTTATATATTTGGGATATCAACCCCTTATCAGACATGTGGCTTGCAAATATATTCTTTCCCAATCCATAGGGCTGTCTCTTCATTCCATTGTTTCCTTTTATGTGCACGACATTTTTATTTTGATGTAATCTCATTTGTCTATCTTTGCTGTTATTGTTTATGCTTTTGGGGTCAAATCCAAAATAATCATTGCCCAGACTTATACCTCATAGATATTCACCTGTGTTTTTTCTAGTAGTTTTACATTACAGATCTTATGTGTAAGTCTATTGGCTTTTTAAAAATTATAGATATTTGGTCCTTTTTATAATGAGAAAATAATTTTAATTTTTTAAATCTATTCTTTCTGCTGTTACTCATTCTGTGCAGATCTATGTGTCAAGTACTTAAGCAGGTGTTGAGATTTGATACCATCCCTGCCTTCAGCTGTTTATTGAACATGGGGCAGCAAATTGTTTCTGTGAAGGTCTAAGTAGCAAATATTTTAGGCTTTATTGGACACATATGGTTTCTGTGGCTGCCACTCACCTCTCTCAAAGTAACATAGACAACACATAAACAAATGGGGATGGCTGTGTTCCAATAAAGTTTATAGGCACTGAGACGTGAACTTCATATAGTCATGCACCATGAAATATTATTATCCTTTTATTCTTTCAATCATTTATAAATTTAAAAATCATTTTTAGCTCAAGGGCTACGCAAAAAAGCACCTAGCTGAATTTGGCCCATGAGATACAGTTTGCAGGCCCCTGGTTTGTTGTATTAAAAGACAGAAGATATTCTTACATGCTTTCTATTTTTTATTAGGAAATATTCTCCTATTCTCTGAAGTTTCATAAACTTCTTTCTTAGAAAAATCTTAAGGATTTATTGTCAAGTTTTTATTTCACAAACATATTCATCATGTTTTATCTTAGTCTAGTTAGATTCAAATTGATGTAACTGATTCTAGGAAATGGAGAAAAGCAGAATGAAATGGAACATTTTGTAGTTGGCAAGGGAACTCTACTGCAATTTCTGTTGCCTCCGTTTGAGGAAGGAATTACGGTATTATAGGAAAAACAGCTTTTGAAACTAAGTCATCCAATACATATCAGCTACTTCACTCCAATGCTTTGCTATGCAGTGACAATATTCTTGGCATTGATACTGCAATGAAAACATTTGAGTAGACTGGGGGAAACATAGGGATTCTATATGTTTTAATTTAAGCAGGCAAATAAACTCAGTTCATTCGTCTGAACTTCTTACATCATAAATTAAAAACCTGATGATGTTCAAAGTGTTTAAGTAGCTTGCCCAATAAAACACAAACAGTTTCGATCTAGTTTTTTCTGATTCCCAAATACACGCTCTTTACAGTAGAACTGACTTCAAAGATGGCGATACAAATATATTTTCTCAGAAGGAAGCAAAAAACTAAACATCTTACGTTTTAGTTCACAAGTAATTAGTGACAATTTAATAGGAATTTAAAGTGTTTTCACTGCATTAATAAATAATTAACACCAATACAGAAACAGCTTTGCTGTGCTTCAGAATTGTGAATTGGCGGATAAGCTTCTTAAAGAACCAGCTTAACAAGGGGCAGCGCCTTGAAGAACTGTTTCTGAGTTCTGTCTTCATGTTTAAGTAGGCTGAGATTTATCTGCTCTCCATAACTGATAGGGTTTGCTAAACTGAGGGTTAAGACGGGATTCATGCTCAAGTAGGAGAACTCAACTGGATGACATCTAAGGTTCATTGTCATGCTGCTTCTTTAAATGGAGCCATAAAAAATTACCCAGGCCTGGGGATGTGTTGCCCTACATTGTTCAGGCTGGTCTTGGACTCCTGGTCTCAAGCAATCTTCCAACTTTGGCCTCCCAAAATCCTGGGATGATGGGTGTGAGCCATACCTCATACATACATGTAACCTAGGTTACATATGTAATTACTAATTATTATAGTTTGATATTTTAAACTTTTCATGTATACAAAAGATAAAATTATTTTTTCTTATTCTGCCAGCAATCTTCCAAGCTATATGATTTATAAGTTTTCATTTCTTAAAATAATAATAACCAAGCATAAGAGAAAAGTGGTCGTATTAGCTCCGTTTATTGCCAAACACAAAATAAATATTGAAAATACTAGAAAAAATGAAATTGACAATGTTTTAGAATGTTTGACAGAAAGACATATTGTACAAAGATTCATCTCACCTTTGTATGTTTCTGCTCTGGAATATAAAATGAGATAATTTCCTATGATAAAATTTATTTTTTAGTAAAAGAGATTGTGTGTGTGAAATTTTCTTTGTTCTGATAAAAGAGTAAATTAATTTTAAATACGATTTGGAATATAAATGGTCGTTTGCTGAAGGCCCAAATCGCTCATATTTAATAATGAGTACCCATGCAGACAGCAGGGCTTAATTTGACTTGTACCTGTTGATTTTATACCACAATGGTGAATAATGAAAATTAGTAAAAACACACTTATCTATAGCACTCTTTAAATAATTTCATTCAAAATTTTACAGGAAAGTAATTAATCATAACAGAAAAATGTATTAAGGGTGAGGGAAAATTAAGCATAAACACAGTCAATATTTTCATTGTCTGTTAATTCCCATGAGATAGATAAAAGAAGGAATGTGGCTCAATGCAACTCTCTGCATTCTACATTTTAAATAGCTTCTGTTTCTCCAAGAAAACTTGTATTTTGTACCATGAATCAAAGCTTTATAAACATAAAATATGCCTTCTTAACTTTGTTCATTTAAATTTACTTTTTGTGTAAGGAGAGGAGAGAAACTATGCACCAAGGTCAATGGAAAAAAGCAGCCATTTCTTCAGCCATTACATTGGTTCTCATTTGTCTGAGGGAGTGGTCAGGCATATGGCATAAGATGTATTCATCTGCCAGGGCGCGGTGGCTCATGCCTGTCATCCCAGCACTTTGGGAAGCCAAGGCGGGCAGACCACTTGAGGTCAGGAGTTCCAGACGAGCCTGGCCAACATGATAAAACCCCATCTCTACTAAAAATACAAAAATTAGCCAGGGTGGTGGTGCGCACCAATAATCCCAGCTACTCCAGAGGCTGAGGCAGGAGAATCGCTTGAACCTGGGAGGCAGAGGTTGCAGTGAGCCGAGAGTGCACCACTACACTCCAGCCTGGGCAACAAAGCTAGATTCTGTCTCAAAAAAAAAAAAAAAAAAAAAAAAAAAAATTACTAATTTTACTCTACCCTTTGCCTTTACACTTATAGGCAGATTACAAAAGTAATTAAGTGACCTACAGTTCTGTAAAATACAGTAGTAATTGTAATTTCCTGATTTTAAACATTTAGCCTATTGGGCTATTACACAGCTTTATTCAGTCAACAAATATTAATATTAATAATATTCATTTCATTTTTCAAATAGAGTAAGTCCTTAAGGTTTTTGGAAACTGGGACTTAAGTAAAATGGCATAAAATAAAACACTTTTTTTTCTCATCAACGTTATAATAAAACAACGTCTAATCAAACAACATTATCTGAGGGCCTGCTATACAGCCTTTCACTTAAAGTCACAGTTTCTAAGAACCTATCAAAGACTTGAAGACCTGCTGTACATATTCTGAAATCACCAAAAACAATTAACTTTTCTATAACTTCCAAGCCTTCTTGTACACTCCAAAGGTCAAACCAAGAAAACACAAATTTTTTTTTTTTTTTTTTTTTGAGGCAGGATCTCATTCTGTCACCCAGGCTGGAGTGCAGTGGCTCAGTCACAGCTCACTGTAGCCTCGGCCTCCCAGGTCCAAGCAATCCTCCCACCTCAGCCTCTAGAGTAGCTGGGAACACAGGCAAACACCACCAGGACTGGCTAATTTTTTAATTTTTAGTAGAGACGGGGTCCCTATGTTGCCCAGGCTGGTCTTAAGCAATCCTCCACCTAGGCCTCCCAAAATCCTGGAATTATGGGTGTGGGCCACTGCTCCTGGCCCAAAACACAAATTCTTTATCACTTGTTTAAGTGCATAGGAATCGATTTTCTAATTTTAAGACATAAGAGAAAATTTAATACAAATTTAAATTTTTGGAGACAACTATTTTTATACTTCTACTTAAGCAGATGTAACATTTACAAAGCATTTAGAGATGTCTTTCTCCAGGTAAGATAACAATAATTTTTAACACAAAGTTAGAATTCCAAGGCTCAAATGAGATATCTTCTGGTCCTTTCTTGTATTAACAGGAACTTTAAGCAGCAAAATTCTAGTAAACTTGAAAATTACTTAGTTTGAGAATCTTGTCATATCAACTCTATGCGCTCAAATATATCTAAATATAATCTCCCCATTTAGGCAGTATCTGTGTATGTAAGCATATTTTGCTTAGTTGGAGGCTTGTGATTAGAAGTCACAAGCCTTAAGAAAAGATGAGCGTCTGTTGAAAGCTCTCTCCCTGAAGCATTCAGTTTTTTCCTGAGGTCAACATGGAGGTAAGAATGAGTTGGAAAATAAGCTCATATCTTTGCAAACAAGGATTGTGGGGAGGAGAAAAATCATAATATGTCTTCAAAACACTAAGGAGAAGTTGCCCCTACAGGCAACCTGTTACGTTCAGAAGGCTTATCTGCCTCTCAGCACCTGCCTAAGTCAGCCTCAATATTCGCCAAGCAAGCCTTCCAATGCTAATTTAATGTCCCAGTGGGGACACCTACTTTGAAGAGATATTTCCAGTGTAAATTATTAAATTGATCTTAGAGCACACAAATTGATCTCACGTGAGTTTCAGCAGTATGAGTCATCCCTCCTTCCCACTCCCCAGGAAGATCAAATTTTGTTAGTTTGTAAAAAGGCAGAAAGAATAATTTAAAAACATTTTTATTCTTTAGAAAAAGGTGGTAACAACAGAAATGTCCCTGTCTACCTTATTTGCTTTTACTTTAAGTTCACATTCATTTTGCAGTTGCTTTTAGGTGACTCTTAGCAATACTTGCTCTTCTTATTGAGGTTGTTCTGTTTGCTCCAGAGGGACGTTCTCATCACCTGTTTTGGGGGGAATTTGTGTTTGTTCCTTTGTTTTGTTTTTGTAGAGGCAGGGTCTCCCTAGGTTGCCAGGCTGGTCTCAAACTATTGGCCTCAGGTGATCCTTCCACCTCAGCCTCACAAAGTCCTGGTATTACAGGCCTGAGCCACTGTGCTCAGCTCCTATATTCTGATTATTACATATAGATTTAAAGAAATGCACTGGGTCAAGTCAAGACTGAAGGACAATCACTTTCCACAGTCAGGGAGGTGAACAGTAGAACGTTTATGGATCATGGCTCTGTTTCTGTAGGGGTCGGATGAGGTCAGACAAGGAAGGCCCTAGAAGTTGTATTCAGGATTTGGGCTGTTGTCTCAGGAATGACAGGAAGTCATTCAGGGGTTTTTAACAGGGAGTGGCAAAATCACATTTTTGTTTGAAAAGAACATTCTGGCTGAGTATGAAGATGGCAAGTGTTAAGAAAAGCAAAGTTCTTAATGATTTGGTAAATTGCTCTAAAGACAACAAAAAAAGGTAGACTGGTCTCTGCAGAAGTTTCTATTGCAAAGACTTAGTGTGACTAAGTGGCATGTACCCTGATGAATTTACCACTGTCTAGCTTTGCACGGTCACCAACAATTGGACTGAACTCAGCTCTTATTATGGAGGTTTTATGTACAATCAATGAAACATCAAAAGTTAAAAAGAGAGAGAGAGAGAAGTTATCATTGTTCTCATTTTAGAGAGGAAGGAACTAAGACTCAGATAAAGCAGATAATTCTCCCAAGTGACAAAGTTAGTTAGGGATTAAAATGAGCTCATTTGCTCTGTCTGATTCCAAATCTCCCATGCTTTCCCCACCTCAGCACATAGACTATGTTGTAAGAAATTCGATTGCCCATGAACCAGAGAGTCCCCCCTATAAACCAACTGCCTGGGAAACTTCAACTCCTTGAAAAAAAGACAGAAAGACAGGCAGAGACACACACACACACACACACACACACACACACACACACACACACAGAGAAGGAAGGAAGGAAGGAAGGAAGGAAAAGGGGGAGGGGAGGGGAAGGGAGGGGAGGGGAGGGGAAGGGAGGGGAGGGGAGGGGAAGGGAAGGGGGAGGGGAAGGGAGGGGGGAGGGGAAGGGAGGGGGGAGGGGAAGGGAGCGGAGAGGAGGCGAGGGGAGGGGAAGGGAGGGGAGGGGAGGGGAGGGGAGGGGGGAGGGGAAGGGAGGGGGGAGGGGAAAGGAGCGGAGAGGAGGCGAGGGGAGGGGAAGGGAGGGGAGGGGAGGGGAGGGGAGGGGAGGGGAAGGGAGATGAGGGAAGAGGAGGGGAGGGAGGGAAAAATAAAGAAAACTTCAGCTTGGTCACTGTGAAGCAAACTCTAGTCTACTATTGACCCTAATTTGTAAATTTTGACACCTCCACTCCAAAAGAGAAAGATAACATTTTCTTCCCAAGGATTCACAGTTTACCTAAAAATAGTTCACTTCTTAATAAAACCTTCTTAATAAAACCTTAAATGTTTTCTCGGTGGTATACAAATTTTTTACAGTTTTCACTAACATAAAGGATTGATGTTAGCCAAATTCTTTATGCCTGATTCAGATGTTTCTGTATAATAACTATTGATTGAGTAGTTTTCCATGTCATGGACTATAAGCAAGTGAAATGTGAATGCACTTATGATAGTCAAGGTTAATTAGTTAAGGATTTATATTATACCTCTTTTCAAAACTCATTTTAGATTATTGTTTTACATATTAATATCCATGTCTCTATGAAGTCAATATCGACAGGGTCAATTGCATCTTTATTTTTACCTACTTAAAGTAAAGGGAGGACAATTTTAAAATTTGCAAATTATGTTCCTCTTTGTGAACCTTAACTTACACTATCTATTACAGGGAAACAAGTTAAATGTTTTGTATAAATGTCCAAGAAATATCTACAGCACTGGAATTACTGTGAGAAGTGTTGCAGAGAATCTGTATATTAGAGAAAAATTGGGTGAACATCATTGGGAAACCAAATGTCAAGTAGTTATTAACACCGCTCAGCAGCAAGCGATGAAACCACAAGAAGCATAGTCATAGCCTGTGGGAGGCAGGGAGCAGAGAAATGGAAGGGAAATCTTTGCTAATCCAGATGGCACAAATGAGTCCCTGATCAGAGACGAGTGGTGTTATCACTCAGCCTACCTGTGCCCTGTTCAGTGATAAACTGAGCAGTCAAACCCCGTCAGGTTCCCTTCACTGCATGCTTTGATCATCCTTTAAGAAGGTTAATCTCATCGAACAACTGGTGAATTTACTGTCAATATAATAGTGACATTTCAATTATTTTTAAAAAGTAAAAATGAAGAACATCAGATAACAAAGATGTTTTGGAGTCTTGGTTGACAATTAACCAAATTCAGTTTTAGCTAAGTAGATTGTGTGCAACTAAAACTGGAAGCTAGAAAAATATAGAATTTAAAATCAAAAGATCAGCAATCAGATTATGCTGTTCTATTTATTAATTACGCCCATGGACAAGTTGTAATCTTTCAAAATCTTGATTATTGCATTTATATAGTGGGGAAAACAGCATCAACCTTGTAAAGCTTTTATGTAATTTAATATATAATATATTTAAAAAGAAATTGATAAATTATAAAATGTCTATAAATTGTTTTTGGTGTTATTTTAGCCACCAGGTGAAATCATTTTAATATACTTTGGCGCTACATTACTCATCTCCGAATATTTTAGATTGTGCAATGCTAACGATACAATTTTGAGTTTACATTCTCCCAAAATGTGTGTTTTGAAAAATAATGCTTCTATTTCTACACATTGTTTCCATTCTAAAACGAACACTAGCTAATCATCAATAATACACATACAAAGTCAGATTTAATAACAATAGTGGATGAATTCACATTTCAAATTGCTTTCTAGGTAATTTTTTTATCTCTGATCAATCTCTTGTAAATCATCATTGATTTTTACCTCATGATGTGACAAAGAAAGAGTTTGTATTGGGAGTATAAATAACAACCCTGTCATTTTCTTGTTGATTTTGTTTGCATTTTTATTGTAAGACTGGTTCTGAGACTTTTTTTAAGAATCTTCTTTAGCCACCTTTCATTTTAGAAGACGTAGAAGACAAATACAATAGGTGTGTAGTCAACCCATCTTCTCCCTGGGAAACCTTGGCACCACACATAAAATATGATCATGTGACATATGGAAGTGGAAACACCAGTGTCTATCCATATATTAAATATGAACAAAGCCGAATTATTTCCTAATTTATTTCTATTTGTAGATAAAAATTTTAAAAATAGGTTTAAGTTTTTCTTCCCATATTTCATTTTCCATATCCTGCTAGCACCTTTACTTTGAGAATCAATTCCTAAATAAAACTAAGAATTGCCAATAAAACAAATAAATACATCTTAATTTCTTTAAAATGATCTGGAACCAGCCAGGCACAGTGGCTCACACCTGTGGTCCCTGCTACTCGGGAGGCTGAGGTGGGAAGATGATTTGAGCCTGGGAGGTTGAGACTACACTCACCTGTGATCCCACAACTGCACTCCAGCCTGAGCCACAGAGCAAGACCTTGTTAAAAAAACAAAACAAAACGAAAAACAGAACCACTCATTTTTCTCCCATGATGTTAGTAGTATAAATAAATGTTGAATTAAATAGAGATTTGGAATTGTCTGATCTGTTTCATACTCATTTAGGAGTCAATATTCACTTGAAACTTTCAAAGGTATATTTGATGTTTTTAAGTTTTCACAATAATACCAAATTTGAACTTACAAAGTGTTCACTTAGGTGGTATGTATTTTAAATATCAACTTAGTTAGAAATGTGTCTTAGCTTGTATTGAAGAGAACACAAAACTCGAGTTTCCTATTAAAAGGTTACGTAAACATTCACTGTGTCCATCTAAATAATTTCAGGCAATGTTATGTGTCTTACAATAATTGCTAGGACTTAGGACACAGCGTTTTATAAATATTTGAAGATGTGATATTCTAGTTTCAGGATCATGTTTTATTTAAAATGTAAAACTTTAATATTAAAATTAATCATTGGAATCATCTACCAAATTCAGCTGTGCCACGTAGAAGACAGCAGTCCTAACTTCAGCAATGTGTAGTTCAAACTTCACTAGGATGTTTCAAAACTTCAAATACTCTGACCTATTACTGGAGCATTCTGTGTTTTAAGAATACAGCCACAGTATCTATTACTCAAAACTCATACACAGAATTTTGTCCATTTTAAAACTGTAGCCTACCTTTAACTGATAGGGAACGGTATCACTGATAGAAAATTCCAGATGTCTCAGGAACTTACTCCTAAATAGTCCCTTATCTTATCTAGTGATTTTTCTGAGAGCAAACATATGTTACTCTAGGACATAATCTCAGTTTTTAAAACTTCATTAATATCAAATGAAATAGTATAAATGCACCTCCCTGAATCACTTTTCTGTGTCCTAACTTTTGGTTTGGATTTCACCTACACATTAAACCTGTTTTAACAATTATCCAAAGTGTTGGCAGGTTTGGAAAGTCTCTGCCTACATATAATCATTTCATACCAGGAGGAGAGACAGACAAGGTCACAGATGCAGTCGATGGAGCTAGGTATGTAGACAGTGTCTGCAAGCATCAGAGAACCAAGCTTTGCTTTGGAGCTTTAAAACATTTCTCCTTTGCCTTTTTAGCTGCCACGTTGGGGGCAAAAGATACAAACGTCCGGTCAGAGGTGAAAGATCACGGATAAGCGAGACCATTTAGGTGTAGCATTGTCATGAGTCTATACACAATTGGCGTGTGTTCACATGTCTACCAGCTATCAAATAAAAGACTGGTCAATAGGCAAGCACTGATGAACATACATCTGTGGAGACTCAAACAGCAATGCTAACATAAACTTTTTCTTTCTCCTCTTCCTTTACTTTTTGATTTTAGGGCTTTTAGGTCTCTACTATGTTACTAAGAGGAACAAAGCATATAGGCATATGGTAAGGTACAATTTATAATAAAATAGAATGTCCCATCTTTATTAATTCACCAGCCACTGCACACTAATAAATTTTATGCACATTATTTCATATTTTATCCTCACTAGAATCCTATGATATAGTTACACTTTTACAAGTAAGGAAACCTAAAGAAATTAAGTAATTTTTTTTTTTTTTTAGATGGAATCTCACTTGGTTGCCAGGCTGGAGTGCAACGGTGAGATCTTGGCTCACTGCAACCTCCACCTCCCGGGTGCAAGTGACTCTCCTGCCTCAGTCTCCCGAGTTGCTGGGATAACAGGAATGCGCCACCACACCTGGCTAATTTTTGTATTTTTAATAGAGACAGGGTTTCACCATGTTGATCAGGCTGGTCTCAAACTCCTGACCTTGTGATCCACCCGCCTCAGCCTCCCAAAGTGTTAGGATTACAGGCGTGAGCCACTGCGCCCAGCTGAAATTAAGTAATTTAACTGAAGTCATACACGAGGTAAGTGAAAAGCTAAGACTGAGGTACGAATCAGAGTCCTTCAATTTCAATATATTTTTGTTAAGTGTTCAATTAGTTAAAATTGATTTCAGAAATGCCAGGAAAGTACCCTCTTTACCTCATCAGCTTGCCGATGCTTAAAATTCTACCATAAAAGGTTTATTATTTAGTAGGAAGTTACTCAACCTTTATTAAAATGAAAATACCTCTGGTTATAGGATCATATTATGTCATATCAATTTTTTACACCTCTGTGTGAAGAAAAACTGTGTTCATTGGAATGTACTCGTTTTAACAGAAAAATCAAACTTGAACTAACACCAGAAAAATGCATATATTTTGGTTCAGATGATCTAAAAAATTAAACATAGAGCTGTGACCCGCCTTGGCCCATGTAGAATTCTGCCTCCTTCTCTCTGTAATTCTTGTAGGTCAACCCTCATCCTCACAGAGGGAGCAAGATGGCCAAGGTTTCCAGGAATTGACGGTCACTTCTGAAATGTTCAGGAAAGGAAAAGGAAGTTTCTGCTCCCATCCTCACCCTGAGAAGTTCCTCAGGTAATCTTGCATGGTGTCTCTTTGGCTCAGAAGGTTCCTGAGCCAGTCCCTGTGGCTGGTCACTGAATGGCTTAGAGCTTCCCAAGCTTGCAGCAAGCACTGTAGCAAAGAGAATGAGATTCTATTGGTAGGATTAGGCCAGGAGTTAGTAAAGCTGGCTGGGCCTCCAAACAACCCCAGGAGCTTTGAAAATGTCTATGCCTGAACCATATTCCAGAAAAGTAAGGATCAGATTCTAGGGGTGGAGGTGTGAAAGCATGCATGAAGTGGGCAGCCGATGACCCTACTTATGAAAATCTGCCCAAATGATACATAATGTGGAGACAGAATTCAGAATCACTGAGGCTCAGACTCTCCAATGAGGGTTCATTACTAGTACCTAATTCATGTGGCTGCAAGACAAGATAGGAGCGGCCAAGTGCAGGGAGTGATCAGCAATTCACCTGGCCTTAATATCAAAAGGCAAGTATTGATGACAGAAGAAGAGTGAGATAGGAATTAATTCCTTGAGACGTGAAAAAAGGGCAGACACCTGTTGACAGGGAGGAAGAAATATAGAAAAAAAGAAAGTAGGAAAGAAAATAAAAGTTCGTATCAACTACTTCACTTAAGGCTCATTCTTGATCATTGCAAAGACAACAATTATCACTTCCACTTACATAAAGTATTTTTGGAAAGTATTTTCTCACCTATTGTTTTTTGCATATGTCATATTTTAGCTGAATTTTGGAGTTTCCTGATTTGGTCGGACAAGAATTGTTCTGATAAAAGCAACTGCTTTTACTAAAAAAGATAGACGTGACTTCCACACAAACATTCACACACACATCGACACGCACACACAGTAAAAATCCTACCGTTAACTTAAACACTGCTAATTGAACATGTTGGTATAGTTACTTCAATCTAGTTTAAACTTTTAACATTTATAACATAATTATAGTATATTCATAATATGATACGTATAGTAATTTATAATTCTACAGTTCCTTTCACTTATTAGTATATAGTACTTTTTTCTACATTATATATTTTTTTAAGTTTGTTTTAGATGTCTAATATCCTATTTATATATTTATAATTATTGATTGATTCCTTAAGCATGTTTTAAAAATTATTATGCATATTATTTTTTAAAAGGTTGCAAAATAATTTTGCTGAATGAAAAATTGTGTCCATGTTTAAATTAGCATTTCTTTGATGACTACTACAGTTATATTTTTTCTGTACTTTGCAATTTTATTCCCTCTTTTATAAATTATACTTATTATTTTTATGTCTTATTCATGTGGAAATTCTAAACAAATTATTTTTTCATTAACTTGAATATTAATTTTTAACTTGGAAATTTCTACCTTTAAATAAGATTATTAGAATTTCTAATAACATGGATATAAATGTGGATACAAATAGGATACTACAAAGTTACCTGTTCACAGAAACTGATTAGTGTGTGGAAGTGTGTGTGTGTGTGTGTGTGTGTGTGTGTGTGTTTAAGGAAATGAATTTTTTAATGAAGTAACAAGAACTTCTATGAAAAAGATGAATAATTTCTTCTAACCAGCTTCTAAACATTTATATTATTCCATATTTATTTTCAATAAAAATGCATAACTTTGTTTTAACAAAACACAATTTTACATTAGTGATACAGCATAATATTGTAATATACTTGGTAGCAATACTTATATTTTAAACACAACAAAGACAACAACATTCATTATTTAGGTTAGGTACAGAGGTGGTTTATGACAACTTTCAAAATCCAATGACAACAGGAGTTTCTCAGAGAGGTTCTTTATCCATTTCACTATATTCTTGAGAAGGTTTCAAAAAGTATTGTTTTTGAGACAGTGAAGACAGCATATCTTCTAACAATCTTTGTTCCTTTTATAATAAGCCCAGTAAGAACCTTCGAAGAAAAGAGTTTTGAAGCCATTTATAATGATCTATCTTTATTCATCATATGTGCGAGGGCTACCAACTTCTTAATGTTCCTATCTCCGACATACTCATCTAAACCTATCTCAGTGCTGGAAAATAACAAGATGGCATTCATCTATCCTTTCTTATGTCAATGACTATTTTTAGCGCTGTAATAAAAGTGGGCTCCAACCAGAAATATTGGTTACTTCAATTTTGTTATCTTCATTTCAATCCTTAATTTGGGTTTATTAGATTCCTGCATCACTACAAAATAAGGTTAATCAATCACTATTTTCTGCTTTTTGCTTATACTGTCAGGCAAAATGATACCTTCAAGACATACTAAATCATAATTTATGTTTGAGTGAAGCTGTGCTTTTAGTTACCTTTTTATACTAAGAAGCTAGCACAGTGTTTGGCACAGACTAGACACATCATTTACTTACAACCAAAGGGACTAAATAGAAACCACACTTTTTTCATTTTTTTAGTGAGTGGGAGTCTGATAGAACATTACTATTTTATAGATTATTTTCACATATATTTTTTAAACTTTTCTTCTCCTTTGATTTCTCATCTATGGAGTATTCTTTATTCATCATCTTCACACTGATGTTACATAAAAGGCATTAATTCAAATTCCAGAAAAAAAGAACAGAGACCTTTGTTTCCCTATATTTCAAGACACTCAGAATTTCAAATGTTTACTTTGTCAAAAGATTGGGAAGAAGAAATGCAGGAAATTACATCAGCTATCTGCAGAAGGGGCAAAATGGAAAAATCTCAAATATATCTTGAGTTAGTAACTTTGAAGCAATCTCATAGGAATGGAATTGTATTAGCCCATCTAAAACTATAGGCACATCAGTTGTCTCAAGAGGTTGCTTATCATAGAACCAAAAAAAGTCTGTGGGAGGCAGGGCATGCTAATCTGCTGACAATAACATTTCAGTATCTTTTGCTTCTGTGTCTCCCTCACGTGCCCATAGCTCGATCCCGTTACATAGTAAGATGATAACCCAAATGATTTTATGCATCTCTGCTTTCAGTTTTCTTTTTATTTTCTTTTTTGAAAATTTTTCTTTCTTGTCCTTTCATCTCTTATTAGTCAGTTGAAAAGTACCCACTCCACTTTCAAGATATGCCAGGGATAATTTAATGAATTCATCCAGGAAGCTTTTCATGAAATTTCTAGCCAGACCAAGTGTTCCTGTTTGGAGTCCATTAGTTCATTGGCATGCTGGACTTGTTTACTACTTTCTGTTTTATATTGCAATTTTCTATTTACAATTCTTTACAAAATGTTTCAGCCTTAGGAAATGATGGGAAGTTTCCTGTAAGATTAAACAAATATAAACCCCAAACATGCCTGACTTCTTAATGGATAAGCAGGAAATAAAAGCTTCTTCCAAAGCAGCAGGATTATCAAGAGCAGGAATCTGTGTATCTTTACACCAGAACTTAACCAGAGAAGTGACGTGGCTGCTCTCTATGATCCAATTCTATGTGTCTTTTACCACTGACTGGCTCAGTATTTTCCTCCAGACTGTGTTATTTCCCTACTGCAAAGCTTTTTGTTTATTCAGTTCCTTGTTCAATGTAACATCAGTGGTTGCAAGCTGCCGTTCATGACTTTTACTCCTATATATTTCTTCTTTCTAGGTATTTATATTAGTTTCCTAAGGCTCCGTAACAAAGTGTGGGGCCTGAAAGAAACAGAAACATATTCTCTGACAGTTCTGAAAGCCAGAAGTTCAAAAATCAAGGTGTCGGCAGGACCACACTCCCTCTGAAGTCTCCAGGGGAGGATCCTTCCTTCCTTCTTCCAGCCTCTGGTTGCTCCAGGCCTCCGTTGGTTTGTGGCTACATATGTGCACTGTCTGTCTGTGCCTTCATTCACATGAACCTCTCCTGTGTGTCCTCTACCTTTCTGTCTATTGCATAAAGACACGCTCATTGGATTTATGACCACCCACTTAATTCAGGATGATCTCATCTTTAAATCTTTCACTTAATTACCAGTACAAAGACATTTTTCAAATTAGGTCACATTCACAGGTACTGGGTGGATGTCTTTTGGGGGGCCACCATTCAAACCACTACAGTATCTTTGCAACTTCTCTTTACACTTCTAATTCAGTCATTTAGTATTTTTATTTAAATACCCAAGCACAGGAATCTGATTTGTCAGGGTCCACATCTTCTTGCTAAAGCTCAGATGATAGGATGCCGCCAGTTCCTGCTTTCATACTCTTTCACCTCAGTCCATTCAAATGTGGTCAAGGCACAGAGTCACATGATACCTAACATGGCTGCTGAGGCTCAGCTCTTTCATGGTGCCTGTTGGCAGGGCAGGCTATGGCTTCAGCAGCCTGACATAACTGGAAGTGTCCATCTAGTCCATCAGAATTCAGGAACTTCCACACAAGTAGGGA